>NC_000007.14:145367470-145518985 GCF_000001405.40 Homo sapiens | reverse complement strand
TTCAGCATTTACCATTAATTCATTTTATACTAGTTATTTTAAAAATAACTTTAATATTGCTTTTTTTATCTTAGCTATTGCTATTAATTTGTTTTACCAATAAAGTCAACATGATTTTGTGCCTTACTCCAAGTTTCCAGAAGTGTGAGATAACAATATCAAAGCCAATCAAACATTGATAACAGAAGGCTAGAGATATGTTCTCAAAGATAATTTAGTTGAAAATGCCCCCCGTGTGTGTATACACACACACATATGAGGCCATATATGTTTATGAGGCCATATATGTTTATATTATATATATATGGCCTCATATATAAAATATGTAATATAAACATAAACATACACATATGTGTGTGTGTGTGTGTGTGTATATATACACATAAATATAAATTTGGCCTCAGAGTTGCTGACGCAGGCTAGATAGTCAAGGAAGTGATCATGTCCTTTGGATGTGGCAACCGTGGAGTCCACACCATCAATGCAGTAAGTCCCAGCATTTTCACTGTATTGAAGCTCATTCAAGTAAGCTGTCTCCAGTAGGGGACTTCCCCTGTAGAGAGCATGCGTATTTTGATTTAACCTGCCCTCAAGCTGACCCTTTGCTGATGATAATAGTAAAAAAAAAAAAAAAAAAAAAAAAACCTGGGTGGATATTTAACATGCTAATGAGACATGCAATGTATGAACAAGCATGTACAGCTATGGCAAATGTGCACCCAGAGGACCACCCAGAACATGCTTACTAGTAACACCCTTTCCCATCCCCTTATGAATAATCATGTAAGACTCCTATAAAGGGAGTCTCCCTAGTGCCAGTCTTTGCTGTCTCATCCTCATGAGGGGCCCACCCCAAATCTCTCAGGGTGTACTGTCCATTCTGCACCTAACGTTCAGAACATTCATTCTCCTTTGCAATAAATTGCTCTATGTTGCATCTCCTTGGCTGTGTGTCTCTTGTTCAAATTATTTTAAACTGAGAAGAGCCAAGTTTTCACAACAGCCATCAACTGTGCCACCGAAGATGCTTTAAAAGTTTAAGAATGAGTTAATAGTAGAATGAAGATTAAGACCTATTGCTTCTGATTCCTAATTGTAATTTCTTGCTTGATGTTGCTACTTCCTTTACATTAATGTAATAGGCTGGCTGATATGGTTTGGCTCCGCGTTCCCACCCAAATCTCACCTTGAATTGTAATCCCCATAATCCCCATGTGTCAAGGATCATGGGAACGTTTTCCCCCAGGCTGTTCTCATGATAATGAGTGAGTCTCACTAGATTTGATGGTTTTATAAGCTTCTGGCATTTCCACTCCTTCCACTCACTCCATCCTGCCGCCTGTGAAGAAGGTGCCTGCTTCTCCTTTGCTTTCCGCCATGATTGTGATTTTCCTGAGGTTGCCCCAGCAATGTGGTACTGAGAGCCAATTAAACCTCTTTCCTTTATTAATTACCCAGTTTCAGGTATTTCTTCATAGCAGTGTGAGAACAGACTAATACACTGGCAAATATTGAATGTTTGAGCCCTATGCTATGACTATTAAAAGAAAAAGAGTGACTAAGTCCACTGCTTTGTGTACAATGAGCATACATACACTTTTGTGAGGGTACGGTGAGGGGGATGGCATTAAACACGCAAGTGTGAATTAGAGTAGAGATCTACAACATTGTGTAATAGATTTCTAGTTCTGATTAGGGTGAGGGAAGATTAGGGGGCAAATACCAATACTTGTGAGCCTGATGAATTTTCAAAATTAATCTATTAATATTTCATTAGATCAAATAAGAGGCACCATGTTGTTCCTATTTGCTTTTATATCTGAAGCCCTTTGCATAATACCTAGGACACAGGAGGCACTGCAAAAAAAAAAAAAAAACGTGTCAGATCTAATTTTATTTACTTAAATTATCAGGCACTGTGATAATGACTGGGATATAAATAACAAATAGTGCTTTTGCCAGGGAAGAAACAAAAACAGCAACATAAGATACTTTTTTTGACAAAATCAAGATATCATAAGTCTACTTTTATTTAGTTTTTTTTTTCCCATAAGCCGATTCTTGAATTTCTCACTTAGGTCCAGAAATTGATATTACTGGTAAATTAAAAACCAAAAAACAAAAAAACACCCTGTGTCCCACTGAAGCCACTGGGCACAGTGTGAGAGAGGAGGGAAATATATACGGAGACCATGTTTCTCTGTAAAGTTTCCTTAACATTACTTTATGTGGGACTCACTTTGGAGGTCCAAAGACTTCTGCAAAGTTATTAACTACATACAGAAGCATCACATAGAGAATGTGGCCTGTATTTTCTCCCCCAGCAAATACCCCACCTCAGCAATCCTAATACAGGAGAACCAGAGAAGATGATGGTACTGGTATTGATTCTAAATACCCCCAAATCATGCTGTAAAATACACAGCTAAAATAGAAAACCCCAAAAACCTATGAAAACATCTGCACACAAACTAGGTGACAATTTTACTTCATAAATTCCCTTATATGAGCAGATGAGGGTAGTAGTAGAGGCAATGACAACTAAAATGCCCACCTACTATCAGTATTTCCTTAAGAGAAGTAGATTTTAAAAGGGAGCGCTTTATATTCTTTCTCACTATTATAAGTATAATGGATTTTATATTTGCCATTTTTTTTTTTTTAGGCAGATTCTTGCTCTGTCGCCCAGGCTGGAGTACAGTGGCATGATCTCGGCTCTCTGCAACCTCTGCCTCCAGGGCTCAAGCCATCCTCTCACTTCAGCCACCAGAGTAGCTGGGACTAAAGGTGTGTGCCACCATGCCCAGCTAATTTTTGTATTTCTAGTAGAAATGGGGTTTCACCATGTTGTCCAGGCTGGACTGGAACTCCTGGCCTCAAGTGATCTGCCCACCTTGGCCTCTCAAAGGGCTCCAGATTACAGGCCTGAGCCACTGTGACTTGACTGACTTTACATAAAGTATGTATAAGATCTTTATTTGGATTATTCCAAATATTTTTAAAGATTATTTTTAGAGTGAACATCACACTCTGGGGTCTGTTGTGGGGTGGGGGGAGGGGGGAGGGATAGCATTGGGAGATATACCTAATGCTAGATGACGAGTTGGTGGGTGCAGCGCACCAGCATGGCACATGTATGCATATGAAACTAACCCGCACATTGTGCACATGTACCCTAAAACTTAAAGTATAATAATAAATAAATAAATAAATAAAAAAGAAAATATTTACATAAACAAACAAACAAAAAGATTATTTTTAAAGAACCTGAGTGAGTGAATACATTGGTGGGGATGCCAAACACTAAAATGGTATTAATCATCCCCAAGCAATCCATAAAAACATACGATCTTCAAATCTTCCCGCAGGTAATTTTTTTTACTTGAAAAGGTAATTCTAGAATTTATGTAAAAGAACAAAGGACTGGGAAGATATTTTGAAACTTACAAGAATAGTATGTGGCTATTTAAATTGCTACATATTTGATTTTTATAAAGGGGTAATAATTAAGACTGTAATTATGTACATGGAAAATTAAATGGATAAATGAAAGTTGAAAACAAGTCTAAAACTTGACCAACTAGGCCAGGTGCAGTGGCTCACACCTTTAATCTCAGCACTTTCGGAGGCTGAGGTGGGCAGATCACCTGAGGTCAGGAGTTCGAGACTAGCCTGACCAACATAGTGAAACCTCATCTCTACTAAAAATACAAAAACTAGCTGATCATGGTGGCAGGTGCCTGCAATCCCAGCTACTTGAGACGGAGGTTGCAGTGAGCAGAGGTCACACCACTGCACTCCAGCCTGGGTGACAGAGTGACACTCTGTCTCAAAAAAAAAAAAAAAAAAAAAGGGAGAAGAAGAAAAAGAAAAAAAAATTGACCATCTATGTACGAGAGCTGGATCTGTTAAAAAAAAAAGAAATAATAGAAATAACTGAAGAAAGAATTGATTTTATTCCATTTATATTCCAGGAGAAAGCTCAAAAAACTATAAGTTTTCATAAACTTAATTAGGTTATAACTCCTATTTCCAATGCATGTTTTGATGAATTAATAGTGTACTTGGCCGGGCGTGGTGGCTCAAGCCTATAATCCCAGCACCTTGGGAGGCTGAGGCGGGTGGGTAACGAGGTCAGAGTTCGAGACCAGCCTGGCCAAGATGTTGAAACCCCATTTCTACTAAAAATACAAAAATTAGCCAGGCGCGGTGGTAGGCGCCTGTAGTCCCAGCTATTCGGGAGTCTGAGGCAGGAGAATCGCTTGAACCTGGGAGGCGGAGGTTGCAGTGAGCCGAGATGATGCCACTGTACTCTAGCCTGGTGACAGAGCGAGACTCCATCTCCATCTAATAAGGTAAAAAAAAAAGTATACTTTACTGGAGTAAAGAAACAGCCTCTAACAACTGGTTTTCAGTTTTAACTCTACTTGTTGCTTTTTTCTTCATAACAATTTTCAGTGATCACCAAAAACAGTTTGCTTTTACCTGGCAAAGCCAATGGTACACATTCATAGTCCTTTCTCATGGCTACATCATCTTTTCTCCTCTCTGCCATAAAATAGTTCACAATGACCTTAATCATGTTGACATTCCACACAATATTACACTGGTCCTCCACGTTGATGATGTTTGGATGACTAGATATGTTGAACCAGAATTAATGAAAGTTTTAAATATTTTCATGACAAGTTATATGTAAAACAAAGGGTAAAAGATAAATCTCACCAACATTTAGACATCTACCACTTCACTGAAGTTTAGGGGGTCTAATAGTCTCTGGAATGTGAAGCTATTCCAGGAAAGATGAAAGAAAGTCATGGCAACTTATATTACCATCAAATAAGAGGGGAAATGCCTGGAAGGCAATTTTTTTTTTGGAGGCAACATATACAATGTTCAAGTGTGCTATTTCAGCCCATCTATTGAATCACTTTTAAGGATGCCAGATTTGAGTGCTGATCAGAGCAAGGCAAGGCTCTTAAGCAAGTTCAGGTTATAATGCAAACTGATCCCTCTTTGCCGTTATGATCCGCATAATAGCGAAAATGTCTATGGCAAAGAGGGGTTCTGTATGGAACCTCTAACGAGAACCAACAGAGAATCTCTGAGTAGCTTTTGGGTTTCTTGAAGAAAAACCCACACCTTTTGTTTTTTGCTGCTGATTTGCTAATGGGCTTCAGTAGAGAATGAATAGGTAAGTATATGGCTTCAGGTGACAATGAGACCTGAGCTGCTAATCATAATCATAAACAATTCATATGTCCACACGATTAGGCATGTGCACCATGATCCGTCAAGTGGAAATAGTATATAAGAGATGAGGCTTAGGCAGGTCTGGAAGGCACAAATAATTTCCCGGTACAAGTAAGTCACTTCCCTTTGGCACTGATTTCTCTACTCTTTCTGTCTCTTCTTCCATATAAGCTTATGCATTTGGTTTCATGGAGAGTTTGTTTTTATAACCAGTTGATAAAAGGGGAAGAAAGAAAACCCTTATTATCATCAGCTTTGCAAGATATTCTGTTATAATATATGCTGTTACAATTATAATCAGCTCTGCAAGATATTCTGTTATAATATAGGCTGTTATAATTATAATCCGCTCTGCAAGATATGCTGTTACCATTTGAAAGTGGACAGTTGCTTCTCTCTCAAACTGTACCTCAGAAAGACTGGAGTGAAGAAAAACACTCCCAATGGGAAGATTTTCAAGTGGTACATTTTGTAGCCCATGTTTTCTGAAATAAATATGGCCAGAAATATGATTTTTAATGGATTCATGTATGCTTGCTATTGGTTTGGCTGGATAGTGATGGATGGGAAGGATTAGGATTAGAAAGTTGGTGATAGGGAAGTCTAGGGAAGAAATGTGTTCATGAGCTGCTCAGAATGAGTAGATAGTGAAGATATTCATGTTCTATTTGAATGTTCGCCCAGAGATGCTCCTGCAGTGGACAACACTGCACGTTCTGTGGATGTCAATAAGCCTCTTGCCCAAGTCATGCCAGGGTTTTCCAGTGATTACTCAATGGGTTAATGAACAGAGTGGCCATAGTGGCAATTAATTGCATGGTCATGAAGCTTCAATGGTAACATGATGGTGGTTAAGATATTCCACAAGTCCATGGATGGTAATACTGACACAGTATTACAGATGGGAAAGGGAAATGCATATCCCAGAATATGTCCAGTAATAAGGTAATTGTATTAACAGCATCACTTCTAATCAATTAACTAATTGCAATGCTAAGGAAGTGCAACAATGGGCGTCTGCCTATGTAATTAAAAGGCCTTCCCGTGTACCCTATCACACAGAAGTGCTTGGCCTCATTGAAGGTTGGAATGGCTTAATAAAGATAAGAGTTGTGTCAGTTAAGAGTCAATGTCCTAAAAACACATGATAGAACAGGAGTCTTATAGGATGCAGTACATATTTTATATCAGAGACCATTACATGGTTCTGTCTCTCCTATAGCAAAAATACATGGGTCTAAGAATCAAGGGATGGAAGTGGAAAAGGTTTCCCTCACTATTTTACTTTATTTTACACGTCAAAAATTTTTTTTATTATACTTTAAGTTTTAGGGTACATGTGCACAACGTGCAGGTTTGACACGTCAAATTTTTGCTTCCAGATCTGGTAACCTTAAATTCCGCTTGTTTGGGGGTCTTCATTTCCAGGGGGCGAATGCTTTCACAAGGGGATGTAACAAAGTTTTTATTGTACTCTAATATTACACTCTTTGCTAAGCATTCTGTGCTCCTTTTTCCAGTAAACCAATTAGAAAATAAGGGAATACTTTACTGGCTAGAGTGACTGATCCCAATTACCAAGGGGAAATTGGGTTGCTGTTAACAGTGGGAATGGGAAGACTATGTCGAAAAGTCGGAAGTTCTCTGAGTAGCTATAAGTATTTCCTTTCTCATTAGTAAAGTTCCACAGAAAACTACAGTAACTGAAATAAGTAAAATCATTGAATATTGAGACCCTTTAGCAATTAAGGTTTCAGTCCTTCCATGAGGTAAGGACCTCTAAGCTGTTGAGGTCTAGATTTAAGGCAAAGGACATATAGGAGAACAGAAGGCAATGATAATTAACAAGAGTGGCCTTGGATCAATGACAGAAATGAAAAGAATAGAAACTTTACATAGTTTTTCCTTGCTTATAATATGAATATATTTAATATGCACATATGAAATATTTTCTCCTCCCCTTTTTTCTGAATTATTTTATGCAAGCTTGTGGGTTGCTAACTCTACCATTTAGTGTTAAGTAAGATAATATTCAATGAGTCTTGTCACTAAATTTGAGGAAGCCATGAATACAATTGTTGGAATTCCATGTCTCTTCATTTGGGGGAAAGGGTAGGCTCATCATCACTTATATAAAGAAGAAATCGAACTTAACAGGTGGAAACATAGAGTTATTTTGACGTTGTATATATGTCTACATTCATGTAGAAATGAATGGGTTGATGCGAGTGGCCAAAGGGGTGGACTGTGCCAGTTATAATTTATTTCCTTTCAGCTTCAAGCCCACCCATGTTTGCCATGCTTTGTGATGCTGAAACTGGACTCTTCAAACTACAGTACTCTTATGCCAGCTGAATCAATATTAGGCTCTGCAAATAGAGGACTCTGGAAGGACTTTGCCAAACCGGAAGATAAATAGTAGACTTTTTTTTTTTTTGAGTGTTCTCTTTTTCATGCAACTCTGAGTGGATAGGCATGCCAAGGTCCCAGAAAGATTGCTAGTCACATGCTGATTTTGCAGTTTAGGGTAATGTCCACTCAACCAGTTTCTTTGTTACCACATTGACAGATAGTCTTGGCTCACACAGCTCAACAGCTGAAACATTTCTAGCACAACAATCAATGTTGTAAAGTTTTATCCTCATACTTTGGCGGCAGCCCCTAATCTCATGGCACAGTGGAGGCCAATGTTCTTGTTACCACAGTCTTGGGCAGTATATTTCTGTGACAACCATGTCCTCTCCTCAGCTCTCTACATATTAGTTTTTCTGTTCTCCCTCCTTCAAATTTCCCAATTCCTTTCTTACTAACTTTCCCACATAGTCCAAGGGTGAATAGCCACTCAGCAGAAAATTCCTCTATACCCATTTGTAACTACATATTGCCTAGTTAAGAGTCTTATTCCCCCTGTTCAAATTATTGGACCATGGTTGGTAACCAGGAACATTCAAATTAAAAGAGCAGTAATGTACTGTTTGACATTTAGCTGATTCCTAAAAATTTAAGACTCTGAAAATGCAAATTTTTGGCAAGAATATGAGAAAAAATAGAATCCCTCATATACTAGAAGTGGTCATAGAAATCGCAGCAACAAATTAGATAAACCAATAAGAAATGTCTAGGAAATTTGAACATGTTCATACACTGAGTCTCAGCCATTCCATGCCTGGCCATGTTTTCTAAAGAATTCTCTCTTCATGTGCACAAAAGAAATATATGCATAGAAGCATTGTTTTTAAAAAAGATAAAATTGGAAACAACCCAAAATTTCATCACTATTAGAATAAACAAATAAAGCACAGTATATGTAATAATATATAACAGTAAAAGTTAAAATAAACTAATACATAAATGAAGATCAATAAAAATTTACAAACATAATATTGAAAGAAAACAAGTATAATAAACAAAGATACTTAATTTTAAAATTGCAAAACAATATTTTGAATACATAAACATGTATTTACATATACTACATATACACATATGGTAAATAAACACATATATGTATATTATAAAAACAAGCAAGGGAACGAAAATACTCCTGTGAGAATGTAAGAAGAAAATGGTACTGTGAAAAAGAAAAATAGGAAGCTTTTTATAGGAAACTTATTTGGCATGTCTATTAATTTAAAATGAAGGCTAAATTCTCCTAAAATTTTTTCCCTTATTTCTTACCTAGAAAACAATAAGTAGAAAGATTTCCAAGAATGTATTATGCTCCCCTGTTTTTACACAGTAAATACTTCCCTGAGTGATATCATTTCCTATCTAATGTACAGCATAAGGACTATAGTTAATAATATTGTATACTTGTAATTTGCCGAGAAGATTTTTGAAACTTTTACCACAAAAATAGGGAGAGTAACTCTGTGAGATAATGAATATGTTAATTTACTTGACTGAAATACCCATTTCACTATGTATAAATATATAAAGCATAATGTTGTACAGCTTAAAGATACACAACAAAATAAATTACTCTGTCATCTTCTCACTTTATTTCTTTAAATTTAGCTCAGATATTTCTTCTTTTAAGAAGCCTGTTATGACTTCTTTAAGTCTAAATTTAGTGATTCTTCTTCATGGGAGTACCTTTTGCTTTAACGTCTATTATTTAGTATTTGTACTTGTTTGTCCCCTCACTAATCTAGACATCTATACACATTTGTCTCTGTTTTATTTTTAGTGATAATACTATACCTGGCATGGAGAAATTACTAAGAGTCGTGAATGCAAGTTAAGATTATTTTGGATAATCTGAAGCTTATGAACACCTACTTTGAACCAAGATCTGAAAATTATAAATCTTTTACATAAAAACAAGCCACATTAGAAACTTCAAAGTAAATTATCTACGTTGATTGTAGGCATTCTGGTTTTTAAAGTATTTACAGAAATTCTGTAAATACTTTTTACAGAATTTACAGAGTTCTGTATTTACAAAAATTCTCAGTTGTTATTTGGCAGAATTAAAGGAAAAGTTAAAAGTTTATTTATTCACTCATTCAACAAATATGTATTTAATGACTACTTTGTGCCAGATATTATGCTAGTCACTACAGGTTCAAAGATGAGGGAGACAGACATGGTCTCTTGAAGTTTATATTTTAGTAAGTGAAATCACAAAAAAACCCCACAAATATATACAATAATTATAGTAACTATCGTATTATGATCATTAAAGGGACAAAAGATCAACCTTGGTTTCTTGGTCTCTGTTAAGTCACAGAATTTTTAACCCTGAAATAATTCTACCTTCTAAATGATTGCTGGGTGAATTACATTTTTGTATTCATTATCACATCTTAGATTTGGATTTCTGCTACTTGTCAAAAAAAAAAACAGCACCTCAGTTGAGAGTCGTTACATACTTTCATGACTGCAGTTAAGAAATGGAAGACTCTTGTTCAATACTAGGTAAATATCCTGAGACAGTATAGCAATTGGCAATTTTCAATGAATCATAAAAGAAAGGTAGTAACTATAGAAAGAGACACAAATCTTTGTCTACCGTTATGTTTTAACTCTTAAATATATTATAAATAATTTAAAATGAGAATGGTATATTTTATTTACCCAATGTGGTATGCAGAATTTTAGCCCTCATGATTTCTATTCTGTGGTGTTACTTTTATGTTTGTGATGTTAAAAGCAAAACGGATTTTGCAGATGTAATTAAGGTTAGTAATCAGTTGTTGTTAAGAGGGAGATTATCTAGGTGAGTCCAGTGTAATCATAAAAGGCCAGAAGAGCAGAAATCTTTGTCTGGTGACAGAAAGAGAAGGGAGAGATATTTGAAGCACAAGTAGAACTCAAAATACTGTTGGCTTGAACATGTAGGGGTCCACATGGAAACATCAGAAGAAAATATTGTCTTCCAACAACCAATCAGCTTGGAAGAAAAGGTCTTCAACCTCCAGTGAACCATAGCCCTAACTGACAGCTCAATTACAGCCCTGTGAATCTCTGATCAGAGGATCCAGTCACACTGTGCCAGATCACTGACCTAGTATGAGATACTAAATTCGTGCTGTGTGAAGTCAGAAGGTTTATGGTGATCCGTTACAACAGAAATGGAGAAAAATACACCTAGATACTTATAATTTATATAGCTTCTCTACTTTTTACATTCCAAATTTTTTCTGGTATTATTTTCATTGGCTTATTAACTTGCACTAGCAATTCTTTTAGAGTAGGTATCCCAGCTACAAATTCTCTTATTTTTCTGTCAACTGTATTTATTTTATTATCATTTTTGAAGGATGTTTCTATTTAATATAGGATACTGAGGGTTTTTTCTTCAGCACTTTAAAAATGGTGTTTTACTTCACTCTCATCTTCATAGTTTCTGATGAGAAATCAGCAATCATTCTAATTGCCTTCTATAAGTGTCATTTTTCTCTGGTGTTTTGTTATCGATAGTTTTTTTTTTTTTGCTTTAGTTTTTATTATTGGGCTAAGATATGTGTGAGCATGGATTCACTTGAGTTTATATTTGGCTTAGTTTCTTGAGTTTACAGGTTTATGTCTTTCATCGAATTTGGGAAGTTTTCAGATATTATTTTTCAAATATATATATTTTTCACATTATCTAGTGGGATTTTGATGACAGTTTTATCTTTTGATCTTTAAAAAAGATAAACTCAGCCATGATAAAAATTTTTAAGAATTATTTGAGTAAGAAGTAGTTCATGAATTGGGGAACACCAATCCAACAGAGGTTTTGAGTTCTGATGACAAAGCATCAGAGACAAATATTTATGGGGAAAATGCAGAAACACAATAAAGAAATTACTTGATTGGTTACAGTTATACAGTTGCCTTATTTGGCCTACCCTGTTGGAAAGTCTCTAGCTACATAATTTTGTCTGTTGGCTGCTTTTGATCAGTTGAGCTAGAATTCTGTTTTTCTTTAAAGCATTTACAAGAAATAGCTCAAATTAAGTTTCGTTTATGTTTGCAAATCAAGCAGGGTTTAGATCGCTAACTGGGTTTGCCTGCTAAGGGATTCTTTTTTTTTAATTTTATTATTATTATACTTTAAGTTTTAGGGTACATGTGCACAATGTGCAGGTTTGTTATGTATGTATACATGTGCCATGTTGGTGTGCTGCACCCATTAACTCATCATTTAGCATTAGGTATATCTCCTAATGCTATCCCTCTCCCCTCCCCCCACCCCACAACAGTCCCCGGAGTGTGATGTTCCCCTCCCTGTGTCCATGTGTTCTCATTGTTCAATTCCCATCTATGAGTGAGAACATGCGGTGTTTGGTTTTTTGTCCTTGTGATAGTTTGCTGAGAATGATGGTTTCCAGTTTCATCCATGTCCCTAGAAGGATATGAACTCATCCTTTTTTATGGCTGCATAGTATTCCATGGTGTATATGTGCCACATTTTCTTAATCCAGTCTATCGTTGTTGGACATTTGGGTTGGTTCCAAGTCTTTGCTATTGTGAATAGTGCCGCAATAAACATACGTGTGCCTGTGTCTTTATAGCAGCATGATTTATAATCCTTTGGGTATATACCCAGTAATGGGATGGCTGGGTCAAATGGTATTTCTAGTTCTAGATCCCTGAGGAATTGCCACACTGACTTCCACAATGGGTGAACTAGTTTACAGTCCCACCAACAGTGTAAAAGTGTTCCTATTTCTCCACATCCTCTCCAGCACCTGTTGTTTCCTGACTTTTTAATGATTGCCATTCTAACTGGTGTGAGATGGTATCTCACTGTGGTTTTGATTTGCATTTCTCTGATGGCCAGTGATGATGAGCATTTTTTCATGTGTTTTTTGGCTGCATAAATGTCTTCTTTTGAGAAGTGTCTGTTCATATCCTTCACCCACTTTTTGATGGGGTTGTTTGTTTTTTTCTTGTAAATCTGTTTGAGTTCATTGTAGATTCTGGATATTAGCCCTTTGTCAGATGAGTAGGTTGTGAAAATTTTCTCCCATTTTGTAGGTTGCCTGTTCGCTCTGATGGTAGTTTCTTTTGCTGTGCAGAAACTCTTTAGTTTAATTAGATCTCATTTGTCAATTTTGGCTTTTGTTGCCATTGCTTTTGGTGTTTTAGACATGAAGTCCTTGCCCATGCCTACGTCCTGAAGGGTATTGCCTAGGTTTTCTTCTAGGGTTTTTATGGTTTTAGGTCTAACTGCTATGGGATTCTTCAGGCCCGGTCTCCATTATAATTTACCTTATTAGGTCCATGAGTATCTGCTAATAACTTTAAATCTTTTTTCTCGCTGTTTTTCAGATGGATACTTTCTACTAATATATCTTCCAGTTCACTGCCTCTTCCCTCTATCATCTCCATTGTGTTATTGAGTCAATTCAGCAAGAGTAGTTTTTTGTTGTTGTTGTTGTTACTGTATTTTTTCAGTTATAAAAGTTCTATTTGGGTTTTCCTCACACTATCTAAATCTTTGCTGAGACTCTGTCTTTCTATTTATTTCAAGTGTGTTTGAACTTACTTCTTAGAGCATTTTCATAACTTGTTTTAAAGTCTATCAGATAATTTTAACACCTGTGCTTTCTCAGTATTGGTGTCTGTTGAGTGTTGTGTGTGTGTGATTTCAGTTTTACTGGTTCTGAATATGTTGGGTTATTTTAGATTGTATACTAAACATTTTGCATATTATGTTTTGAAGCTCTGGATATTGTTTAAATATTATAAAGAGTGTTGACCATTTTTGTTGTTGCAGGCTAACCACCTGATTGGATTTGAGCTACAAGTTGTAACCAGTCTTCTCTTTTGGTTGTGGTGTCCACCTCACTTACATTTCAAAGTCTTTTCAGTGATATTTGGATGTGTTCTGCATGTGCACTACCCACTGGATAGTCTGGAACCTGGGCAGTGGTTTCTGTCTTAGTTCAAATCTCAAATACTTTGCATGCTGCATTAGATTAGCTTTACATACATTCATCTTAGAGGTGATCTCAGAAATTCATAAATGGCTATGACGTTGCTATATTGAGCTTTTACCTCTCTGTGATATCTCTAACACATTCTAACTCCCTGGGACTCATTTTTCTGTCTTCTGGCCAGAAAGCTATGGCTTTATTCACTCATTCACTAGGTACTTCCTGAAAATGCAATCAAACAGCACAACACAGAATAAAAACAATGGGCCAGGTGGGGTGACTCACGCCTGTAATCCCAGCACTTCGGGAGACCGAGGTGTGTGGATCACCTGAGGTCAGGAGTTCGAGACCAACTTGGTCAACATGGTGAAACCCTGTCTCTACTAAAAATACAAAAATGAGCTGGGTGTGGTGGTGGATGCCTGTAATCCCAGCTACTTGGGAGGCTGAGGCAGGAGAATCGCCTGAACCCAGGAGACAAGGTTGCAGTAAGCCAAGATCATGCCATTGCACTCTAGCCTGGGCAACAAGAGTGAAACTCCGTCTCAAAACAAACAAACAAATAAATAAAAAACAATGGAAGCTGAACCCGTCCCCTTGGGACTCCAGTTTCTCTGATTAGAGTGGAAGAGCTTCTTTCCTCAGAATTTCAGGTGACTGCTTCTGCTGCAACTGTTGCTACCACCACAATCCCTGTAGCCAAACTGCTTTAGAGCTAGTGTGCATGTGAAAGAAGATAAAACACATGGGAGAAATTTTCTCACTTTTTCTAGATTTAGGAGCCTCCTTTCCTTAAGCCATAACTACATGGCTTCTGTTGGAGTTATCTCTTTACTGCCAGTGCCAACTTCCTGGTTTTGGGTGACCTTATGTCCAGGCCAGGGTATACTGGAGGAAAAGTAGTGGTAAACTCACAGCCAGGTTGGTGAGAGTTCATCTTCAAATAGCTGCTCTATGCATTATGTGAAGGTTTTACAGTGCATTCAGTGGGAGAGACAGGGTGGAGTGTGCTGATTCCATTGTATCTGGGAATGGAACTATTGTGCTTGTAATTTTAAGACTTAAAAAAATTTAATTTATGGTTTTCAAAAATTTCATAAAAATATATATTTAATGGGGGTGTTTCCTTGTGATTTATTGCATTGTCTTGCAGGTAGACAGAGTCATCAAGAACTGGCTGGTGAAATTCAGTTCACAGTAAATGTACCATGATAAATGACAGATAGTCTGATACTGAGTGAAAGTGAATAAAAAGAAAAACACCTTAAAAGGGGACAGAGAAAATGAGGAATAATCGAAAATATCTTAAAAATATTCAGTTGAAGGTCAATATTTTTGCAATAAATATTTTACAATCCCAAGTGAGGATACAATATAACTAGAACTATTCAAAAGGAAACAATCATTACCAAGGGAAATAATTTTTTTTAAAAAATGCATATAAAAGAACAAAATTATTACCTTTTCTTTAGAGCAGGCTTCTTGACTATCTCTTTGGAAGTATATCAATTCCTTATTCCAAACTAGGAGTATAACTTTTCAAATCCAACAGGTAAAGATTATACACATCAGTGTTCCAAAAATTAAATAATATATTTGAGGTTGATTTGCTAATAGTTGATGTGACAGAGTTTGAGGCAGGGCTCTATCCTCTATCCACAATTGCTGATACAAGGCTCTTGTTCTTCAAATACCTTAGTCATCTGTTTTACTTCCTCGACTTTCCTCTCTGTTCTGCCAAATATTTCACCTATTATTCTCTTCTGTTTTCTTTGTGGAACACTATTAATGCTAATAGGAGAAGGTGCCACCATTTGACACCCAGAGGTAACAAATTTTCACCTTTATCCCTTTTTTTAATCAATGAGACTTGAAGACACCTTAACTCCTCTCCTGCTGACCTCTCCTGTAAAAGTTTCGACATATTTCACTCTCCACATTCAGTAGAGGGAGGCCATCTTTAATAGTATTTGCTTCTCTCTACACTTTCCAAAAAAATGGCATAACATTTGATTCATAGTTTTCTCTACTTGCTATCAACTGGTGCAATTTTAAGCATTTTCATTATCAGTGCACTTCACAATCTCACAAGTTTCTAACTTCTACAACACTACAGACATTTATCTACACTGTGGAACAACCAATCACAGCCTGGCACATGTGGGCCATATGGCACAATATCATAGTCTCAGAGTTCAGATTCATTGTCTTCAATTAACTACAACTCTCGAAGTTATTTAAAGACATTTAATTTTTTCCTGGAAAGTATCACCCACACTTCTGATATCCTGGAGTTCTGTCTCAGATTACTTGACTTATTAGTTAGAATCAGGAAAAAAAGAGTAGTTCTCTGCGTAAAATTGGTTCATTCAGTTCTAGTTTCTGTTCTTATGGTTGCGGGTATGCTGACACTACAGAGAATTTCATCTTTCAGAGGGATATCACACAGTGCTTATGAGGAGATAACATACGTAATCATCAATTTGGACCTCTGAAAAGATACTCAAAATAAATAAGATACTTGAGTGTGGAAAAATACATTAACAGTATGTTTTAATATTTAAAGTAATATTCAGGCCTAGATGAAGTAGACACATTCCCCAATTCCTGCTGAGTTCAGCTAAAAATTCCAGACAATATCTATAAGTCATAAGTATAAAGCCTCTGAATAGTGGAGAGAAAAAGGCAGACTGACTAGGGACTTCAGCACCTGAGAAAGAGCATACCTGTAAGTGTGTTGGGTTTCCCTTTTGCCTCACATATCCCAGACTGGATGCTAGCAAAGCCATCAACCCCAAATGCCAATGGAGCACACAAAAATAGGTTCCTAGAAAAGTCTTGTGTTTTTAACTAAAGGACAATGACAGGAGCAATGTAATAAGACCAAAAAAATTTTGTTTTCAGAAAATAACTACCTTATCACAGAAAACACCATGGAAAATTCTGCAGCCCAACTGCCAATCCTGTAAGAAATTCAACTGGTCTCATGTAAAAGAAGACTGAGTGAAGAGCTGGGCGTTTCATCCTTGTCTGTCAATAACCAACCCTGCCTGTGCTCTAGAGTGTTGGTGGAGGCCATGTAGAGATCCCAGGCTTTCATCCCCCTCCCGCAGCAGTAATGAGACACCCCTACCCCTCCTTGCTACTGTCAGAGGAGGCCAAATGGAAACCTGGAAACCTCGCCACCATCCAATGGTAACAAGCCATACCCCACCACCATCTTGCCAGGAGAAGCTATATGGGGAGCAAGAGCAAGGGGCATCTCCTCCAGCCAGCAAGTTGGCATCTCTGCTCAGAAGTAGCAAGGTACCCATACCCACCTCTTGCATGTCAAAAAGGTCAAGTGAAAAACCAAGACTATAGCCTCCATCTTTAATAACAAGGCAGCACTCCACCTTCTTCCACTGGTGTAATGTTTGCACGGGCCTGCTAAAACATGAAACTTAAATAGTATTCAGAGTCTTCCAACATGATGTGCAAAATGCCCGGAATACAATAAAAGATCCTTCATCACGACAACAGCAACAAAAATCTCAACTTGAATAACAAAAGATAATCAATAGATGACAAAACCAAGATGGTGCAGCTATAGGAATTATCTGACAAGGATTTTAATGCAGCCATCATAAAAATTTTTAATGAGCAAATATTAACATGCTTAAAATAAATGATGAAATAGAAAGTCACAGAAAATAAATTGAGCATGTAAAGAAGAATCAAATGAATATTTTAGAACTTAAAATGCAAACAACTAAAAAAATTGTTTAAAAAACTTCAATAGCAGCCTGAACATCAGAGAAGGCAGAAAAAAGAATAAATGAACTTGAAGACAGAACAATAAAAAGTATCCAATTGGAACAACAGAGAGAAAATAGAATCAAAAATTGTACAGAACTTCAGGGGCCTGTGGGAGAGGGACTGTCACAAAAGACCTAATATATGTGTCATTACAGTCTTCTCAGAAAAGGAGAAAAAGGGTGGGTTGAAATATAATTTGGATATATAATTGGTGAAAATGTCCCAAAACTTTTAGTAGGAAACACAGAGAATTTTCTCAGAGATTAAGAAAATACTAAATAGAGTCAAAAATAAATTCTAGAACTGAAAAATGTATACATCTAATTAACAATTTATGTGTTATTAAGAAGAACATGAGATTAGAGAACAAAAGATATATCAGTAGCAAATACTGAAATTGAAACAGGAAACAAAAGTCAGACAATTTATTTTTAAGTGCATGAGGTGCCTATGAGATGCAATGGAGATGTGTAACATGCGTGAGAGTAGAAATCCAGAAGGAGAGGAGAGAAAGAATTGGGCTACAGCAATATTTGAATAGATAATGTCTGAGACTTCTCCAATAATAACAAAGGACACTGTGGCACAAACTCAAGAAACTCCGTAATATCTAAGCAAGAGAAAGGAAAAGAAAACACCTAGACACATTAAGAAAAACTACTGTAAAGTCAAAGTTAAAAATTCTAAGAGTGGAATGAGGAAAAAGAGAAATATTGTCTTCAGGAGAATAAGAAGATAAAGCTTACAGCACAACTAAAGTTCAGAGAAAAATATTTAGCTCTCAATGCATAAATTATACAATTTGAAATGTTGAAAATCAATTACTTATTACAAGAAACTGAAAAAGGATAATCAAGTTAAATTCCTAAGCAGGAGACAGAAGGAAATATAAGAGCAAACATTACTATCGCCAATTCTATGTAACATTATACTGAAGAGCATTGTAAGTACAATAAAAAAGAAAAAAGAAATGAAAATAATAAAGCATGCTAATACCAAAACAAAGCTATCATGATACAGAACTAAAGATGATACATTAGAATAAGAGATTATGCAAAATTTGGGGCTATCAGAGACTCCAAAAGTTAAATGCACTTCTGTATACGAAATAACAGAAAACAACAATTTTAAATACATAATTTAAAGCCACTGCTAGATTACTATAAGCAACTACAAAAATTCATCAAGCTACACACCTACTATGTGTGTACATTTAAATATATAAATTGTATCTTACTAGGAAGGCTTTTTAAAACCAAAGGAAAAGTATTTCTTTCTATAGGCAAAATTATAACTTTATTGAACGTCATTAAGAATGACCTGAATAAAAGGAAAGATGGGTCACTTTCAAACATGAGAAAATCAACACTTCAAGCATTTCAATTCTTGTTCAAATTCCCATCTTGAAGACTTTAGTGGCATTCCTTGCTCTGCCTCCTATTCAATCCAGGTAGCTCTATGAAATTAATAAAATTTCTCAATATTGGACAATCTTGATCACGTTTTGTGATCCTTAATTTGTCCCAAATTTTAAGGTTCACAACTAACTCAACACAGATCTTGACACTGGTGATAACTCTTATATCTAACGTACCGCCTAAGCATAATTTTTCTGCTCCTTTTTACCCCAGAATTAATCTATCAAGTTTTATCACACAATTGTACCAGATTTTCTCTCTAAATTTCCTTTTCTCTGACTTTTCTCAACAAAAATTAAAATCTCACATTAACCTAATGACTTCTTCCTTGTCTAATAATGAGTTATTACTCAGGTTTCTACTTGCCCAGTCTGTGGAATATGGCAGTATATATGGCCCTATGTTCTTGAAATTCTATCATTTATTGAACTCAGGAACACTGCAACCTCCTAATTTTGTCCCAGCATTAGCATTGCTCATACCTCTTTCCTAATTTTTCTTCTACTTTAATTTCCCTGAGGTTTGAGAGTTTCCCCTCTGATCCTATTTCATGTCCTCTTTCAAGTGGTGAAATGATCTTCTCTCATCATTTAGGTTATGATCTCATGGCATTCAATTCTATGTCTCCAGCTTTGGCATCTCACTCCATTCCTACTTTTTAAATACAGTATGTTTGCAATTGCATTTTGGAATTTTTAATACAAATTAGAGAAGAATAAGTATTTAAAAGTTTGTTAAAGGTTATGGTGAGTATCTTGTTCTATAAGATAAAGGGGAACGTAGTTTACTGACAGAAATAAAATAAATAGGAAAGAACCACACTCGATTGATTTAAATATACCACAAGAGGGAAATAAGACAAAAACACATTTGGAACTCAGCCATGTAAGGAAAAGAATTCCACAAAGTGTGACTGACCTCTTCCCAATCCTAATTATGCTGATCCTGAAGCTACCTCTTTGCATTAATAGGGGGAAAACCCACATACGAAATGTTTTGGGGTTTGAGGAATCTTTCAGTATTACCTTTTCCCCCATGCATGTCTGAGAAACAAAGGCACAAAGACAGCAGATGGAACAGCCAAATGTCAACTTCATTATTTTTGAAGACTAAGTAGAAAAATGTAGCATAGGTGGAAAGACAAAATGGGATTCCTAACGTGATGCTTGGAACAGCTATACATGAAAAAGCTTCGTGTTTTGTTTTGTTTTGTTTTTCTTTTGAGACAGAGTCTCGCTCTGTCACCCAGGCTGGAGTGCAATGGTGCAATCTTGGCTCACTACAACCTCCACCTCCCGAGCAAGCGATTCTCCTGCCTCAGCCTCCTGAGTAGCTGGGATTACAGGCACGTGCCACCACGCCTGGCTAATTTTTGTATTTTCAGTAGAGACAGGGTTTCACCATGTTGGTCAGGCTGGTCTCAAATTCCTGACCTTGTGATCTGCCCGCCTCAGCCTCCCGAAGTTCTGGGATTACAGGCATGAGCCACCGCGCCTGGCCAAGTTTCAGGTCTTTATAAGTGAAAATGCAAATTTTAAATTTTCAAAAAGTGATTTACTACTCCCAGTTGAAAATAAAGAAAGAAATTTCTCTTCTCTTGTTTCTTAGAGCATTTGCTTTAGAACTTGTTATTGTAAGTTTTCTCTGTATCTTTAAACTATAAGTAAATATTTGTAAAAGCTAAATAAACCTCCTGCAAGCTGTATAACCAGTGTATATTTTTCTCAATGACCCACAAACCACTTTTTAAAATGTAATCATCAAGGGAGTTAGTACCTCTATCTTCCAGTTTCTGCAGAACGGTAGGAGTCTAACTTGGGAGCCTAACTTAACAAGTAGAAGCGTAAGCCCAGGAGCCTAACAACTTAGAATGGGTTCTTCATGCCAAGTTGCAAAACTACCTCCTCACAAATATATGAAAATTTTATTTTTCCCTTCCAAAAAGCCAATTGGCTAACACAGATGGTCACCCCAATTACCAAGTGAATTTAGGGTAAACTCTGTGTGACAAATGATGCTGTCAAGTTCTCTTACTTGAGGAATAGCTATTGTTTATTTTGAGAACATGTTTGTAATGAGTTCTATCTACTTGGCTACAAAAAATGTTTCTGTCTTTGCAATCTTAGTCAAATGCTTGTGGTGTGCGTCATATTCTGGTTTAATGCTTATTTAATAATAAAATTGTTTTCTTCCTCTTCTGTCTTTGTGGAGAGGTTTTCTGGATTGGGAGGGAATGTTGTTTTAAATTATATTTCTCCAGCAGTCTGTAGAAATAATGTGCTTTCCAAAGTTGCTGCCTTTAACTGGCTTCACTAGAGAAGAAAGGAAAAGAGAGAGAGAAATCCCTGGTCCTCTGGATATCATATAGCGTTCATGCATCTAATTAAGAAAGAAGGACCAATAACTGTCTCCTCCACTAATCAACTATGTAACAGGAATAAAAGTTTGAGAAAGTGTACATGAGTATGGTGGTGATATTCATTATTATGAAAAATCTATTATTCATAGAATCAAAAGTTATCCAGAAGATTCTAAGTAAATGGCCAAGTGGTGGCACAGTAAATATTTGTAGAGAGAAAAAACGCAAATTGTTGAGGATTAAATCTTCCGTCACTTTTCTTTATGATTTCCATTTCTCTACCATATTCTTGGACTCTCATCTCATGCCTAACCTTACATCCAAATAAGAACAGGCAACAGCTATGTATTGTATTCAGAGATTCCTATACCAAGGGAGTTAGCCACTATAATTGGCATTTGATAGAGGTTCAAAGTCAGACATAGAGGAATAGAAAACTTTACAGTGGAGAAAAAAGGAAAACTTCAGATATGCCCTGACTGGAAGTTTTGGCGCCAGGAAGCTGGAGGCAGGCTAGAAGTGGGGCATGGTATATAATTGGTTTGAAGAGCATAGTTGGCTTTCTCTGGTTGATCCTAAGTTGGAAGCAGAAGAAGAAAGTAGGGAAGCTGGCCATTAGTGATAAAGTCCCAGCCATTTAGGGTTGATTGCTGTGAAGACTGTGGTTTGGCTTCCCAGGCTATTTGCTACAGGTTAGAAGTCTAATTTAGTATATGGTCAGCCCAATGTCTGTGTATTCAGTCTCGAACTGGCCACACCTGAGCCCATTTTTCATTCTAGAGTTCCAGAACCTACAAGGAACTCTGGATAGATTGGTGCTTCCCTTAACCTGCAAACAACATCCCAGGTCCACATGCTATTTTGGTTTCTGCTACTCCCTTTTCCATAATGCTTCCCGACATCCTCCATGACTACTTAACTCCTGTTTCACTGTTAGAACATATCTCTCAAGACCCAGCGATGTCATTAGAACATCCCCTTCACTCATATCTATTCAACACTGAAGTCTCTTTTTAAACTCCCAGAATTCTGATTACTTATCCACTATCATTTCACCACATGACAAAATCTCACCTTGTTAGACTTTTTTTTTGTCATTTTTGTCTGTATCTCTCTTGGGCAGGATTCAAGCCTTGAACTATTTTTGTTTGTGGCATCATGGAGTAATGAAAATATGGAGTTTCAACCAAGAGGATGAGAATTTAAATACCAACTCTGTCATTTAATAGTACTGCAGACTGAAACAACGAATCTTGTTTTCCTAATGTATAAAATGGAAATGCTAATGAAATCTCACTAGTTGGTGAGAATTAAGAGAAAATACATGTTGATGTTTCTGTCATTAGAGAATGATTTTTACTTCCTTTTGGATCAATCTCATTGTGTAATGTTAAAATAATGCTTGTGGCAGATAAGACTAAACCTGACCTTTATACTTGGGACCATGGTCACCTGAGAATCTAATGTTACAAACATAAAATAACAATTGGCAGTCAGGCATGGTGGCTCACACCTGTAAAATCCCAGCAATATGGGAGACCAAGGTGGAAGGAAATAACATTTTAAAATGTGCTGCAGATTTCTAGTTGTAGACTTGTTGAGAGAATAAATTTATCTCCAAAGAAAATCTATTCTTAAATGTAATAGTAATAGAGAACCTAGTCTCACTAAGACAACATATAAGAGAAATGTCATATACTAAAGCTATGAAAAGATTAATGTATTCTTTTTACATCATTCTAACATTACAATGTAGGGTATTTAAGTTTTAGTGCTAGTAGAAAACACTGTTTTGAAAGCTTTGAAAACTGGTTTCCTTTTCTCAAGTAAAGTCTTGGAATTTTTACATTTTTAAAAAGTAGCTTATTTTATTTATATTCCCAACAATTCAGTGGTTTTAACTAAACATAAGACAACAATATTCTCTCTGAAATAGTGACAAAGCTTGTTGTCACAAAACAACATGTTATTCACATGCAGTCTAAATTACCAGAGGAAATAGTATCTTGATCTTTTCTGATTAAATTCAAGAGGGAAACTAATTTGTATGATTTTTACTGGTCATGTCAGATACATATGAAGTATATTTTATTATTTTCATAGGATTTCAATATCCTTAATTTTATTAATATCATTGATTTATCTTCATATTGTTACATTATATTCTGTCCTTCTTCTCCAAATTAAAAAAAAACTGAATGTTAAATGTATATTAATATGCATCAGAATAATATATAGTAAATAACATATCTCGAGAAAAATACTTCTGAGAAGTTATGTTGATAAATCTTCAAATGAAAGAGAAAGCATACTATAGCATTTGGCATAGATGATATTAAAGTACATTCTCAATTTAAAAATTAAATCTATGGAATTTTATAAATATTTTAATTATATTTGTTTTTCAGATTAGATAACAAGGAGAAAGAAAAAGTGCATTATGAGTCTTATTTTCTATAGTAAGCCTATTATTTTATTACTTTTGTAAACATGGTGTACATGTATTTATTTATGTCATTATCTTGTCCTCTGGTATGCAGATAGGGATTTAGACAACAATATCCATCAACATTATACATGATAAGAAAGAAAAGCAACGTTTTGAAGGGTCATTTATACCATGTTATTGTGAGGGCTTAATTATGGTCCCCCAAAGATGTCTATATCCTAATTCCCTGCATCTGTGAATATGGTATGATATGGTTTGGCTGTGTCCCCACCCAAATCTCACCTTGAATGGTCATAATCCCTACATGTCGAAGACATGGCCAGATAGAGATAATTGAATTATGTGGGTGATTTGCCCCACACTGTTCTTGTGGTAGTGAATAAGTCTCATGAAAGCTGATGGTTTTTTAAATGGGAGTTCCCCTGCACAAGCTCTCTTGCCTGCCACCATGTAAGACATGTCTTGCTTCCCCTTTGCCTTCCGCCATGATTATGAGGCCTCCTCAGCTATGTGAAACAGTGAGCCAATTAAACCTTTTTCCTTTACAAATTACCCAGTCTTGGGTATGTCTTCATTAGCAACATGAGACCACAGTAATACATGGTATCTTAAATTCAAAACAACTTTTCAGATGCAATTAAATTATCTTGTGATGAGAGTATTATGGGATACTCTCCCATATGGAATGTTATCAGGATTAAATTCAACAATATATAATGGGGTTTTAAGTGGTTTTTATATAATACGAGCTCAATAAATTATAAGGATGATGATAATAATGATGATGATGATTTCTTGCTGTCAATACAGACAAAATGCCTACCATTGAAATTTTTGGAAAGCATGCATTTAAAGATTTTTGGAATCCGATATGAAGACACTAACTTTTTCAAAATACCACTAATGTCAATACATTAAAGGTAGAAGGCAGCTCAACTTTTAGTTTATATGTATAGTGGCATGGATGGGAGATGGGTTGTGAGGGCGGTAGAGGTCAGAGCGAAGACACAGAACAGTTAAGTGACTTGACAAGTTTTGGGAGCCAGCAAGAACAAATGTCTCAGAAACTACACTCTACAAAAGATTAATGAGTTAATATCTAGTGAAGGCAAAAATATAACTCTTAAACAGGGAAGAAATTTTAACTGCTTAAGGCAGTTTTTTAAAAAAATGTTGTTTTAAAAATTTACTTAGTTGAGAGATAATCTATTCAAAACTTTCACTTCATCTTAATTTTGTAAAAGATATGCGATTTCAGTCATTTTTATACAAAACAACTCTCAATATAGATTAGATAATTGAAATCTAAATTTCACTATTTTTAACCACCTATTAATATTTTTCCAATAATCATTTAGTGTTATAGCATCTCTTTATGTTGTGATAATGCAAATAATTAGTTATAGATTATGAACAGTGTTCATTTGTCTTTCCTTTTTATTCGTGCTATGAACGGCCACAAAACCTGTCCATACCATCAATATACATTTATGCTTAAGTTGTTAAAAGTTTCAATAAATAATATTTATTATAATTTTTTCCAAAGTGTTTGGAAAAAATTCAGGCTGATTTTAAAATGTTTTTCTATTACCCACTCTAAAGATTTTATTTCAACTCTAGTCACTGATCCGGCAAAACACTTAAAGCTCAAGTTCTGTTAAGGATCTATGCCTGACATTTTGTTTCAAAAGGAAATTAGGAGTAATCAATCATGATAGCCTGAGGGAGTTTCCAAAGAAAAAGAGTTATTTGAATATCTCACTTCCAGGCTTTACCTCCTAATTTCTTATGAATATGCATTTCTCTTTTTATAAAATAAAATGAGTATAAAAAACAAATCATTGTGGGCACAAACCTTTAATACAAACTAGTTTTAAAAGGACTGTGCTCGGCCGGGCGCAGTGGCTCACGCCTGTAACCCCAACACTTTGGGAGGCTAAGGCGGGCGGATCACGAGGTCAGGAGATCAAGACCATCCTGGCTAACACAATGAAACCCGTCTCCACTAAAAATACAAAAATTAGCCGGGCATAGTGGCGGGCACCTGTAGTCCCAGCTACTCGGGAGGCTGAGGCAGGAGAATGGCGCGAACCCGGGAGGTGGAGCTTGCTGTGAGCAGAGATCGTGCCACTGCACTCCAGACTGGGTGACACAGCGAGACTCTGTCTCAAAAATAAATAAATAAATAAAAAGGGCTGTGCTCCATTTTGACCTCACGTTTAAGAAAACATTAAGCAAGATACATATTGGTTAACGTATAGAGGTTACTTTTCCTTTGTCTATTTTAATTCTATTTTATGTTAGTACCATAACAAGTTCAAACTATTAAAGTAGTAGTCAACTTTTATTCTAGCATATTTGTATAGTATGTCTTGTCTAAAGAAAACCACAAGGGCACATCAAATAATATAGTCTATATCAAGTTCCACTTCATCACTTGGGAGCAGTTCTCCTATTCTCAGCATGTGCAGACTCCATAACTTCAGAAACATTTTCAATTATTGAGATCCTAGCAGGTTTTAAAACTTTAATTGTTCTACCTGTCCCATCAACTGAGAAGGGAAAGAAGGTTGTGTTCTCCTTGTTTTTCCTTAATGCAGAGTTCAAAGAGGGAGAAGGAGCAAGATTGGACTTTACCTTTTCTCTCTTCTAGGTTGAAACTTTTCCAGTGTGTTGGGGTGATTAGCAATTTTTGTGATAACATGTTAGGTTTGCATACATTTTTAAAATTATTTTTAGTATACAAAAATTAAAGTTTCTAACAAACTACAGATGCATACTTATAAGTCTGAAAAAAAATCAAATCATTTGTTAGAAAAATTAAGGAGCAGATTGGACAGTGATCTGAGCAAAAATGGAAAGGAACTTCAAAAATGTCAGGTCCTTGAAGAAGTAATACTAATATAAATCCCTAGTATTATGTATTTTCAACAATTATATAATGACTATTGTTGGGGTTCTATGGGACTAAGTAAAGCTTCTCTTTGGTACCCAAGCCTTGGATCTGATTAAGAAATAGATAGAGGAGTGAGGAAGATGTAAAACAGTGTTACTTAATAATTCACTCTTCAATGATGGTAGAGCTACTCGTCCTGTAGAAAACAGAATTTGGGTTGATCTGGCTAAGACATTGAGCACTAGGTGGAATGGGAGTGGTAAGAGTAAGCATTTTCAATCTGTTCCAATTCTCAAGGGTAATGGTTCCAGCTTCTATCCATTTGGGATGATGTTGGATGTGGGTTTGTCATAGAAAATTCTTATTTTGAGATATGCCTAGTTTGTTGAGGGTTTTTAACATGAAGTGATGTTAAGTTTCATTGAAAGCCTTTTCTGCATCTATTGAAATGATTTTGAAAACAAAATGGTTTTCTTTTTAGTTCTGTTTACGTGATAAATTATGATTATTAATTTGTGTATGTTGAATCAACCTTGCATCCCAAGAATAAAGCTTACTTGATCATAGGGAATTAGGTTTTTAATGTGCTGCTGGACTCAGTTTGCTAATATTTTGTTGAGGACTCTTCCATCTATTTTAACCATGGGTATTGGCCTAAAGTTATCTCTTTTTGTCATGTCTCTGCCAGGTTTTGGTATCAGAATGATGCTGGCCTCCTAGAATGAGTTAGGGAGGACCCCCCTCCACAATTTTTTGGAATAGTTTCCATAGGAATAGTACCAGATTTTCTTATGCATCTGGTAGAATTTGGCTGTGAATCCATTTGGTCCAAGGCTTTTACTGGTTGGTAGGCTTTTTATTACTGATTCAATTTCAGAAATCATAATTGGTCTGTTTGGGGATTAAATTTCTTCCTGGTTCAATCTTGTGAGGTTGTATTTTTTCCAGAAATTTATCCATTTCTTCTAGGTTTCCTAGTTTGTGTACATAGAGGTGTTTTTAATAGTCTTTGAGGGATGATTGTATTTCTGTGGGATTGGTGATGATGACCCCTTTGTCATTTCTGATCGTGTTTATTTAGATTTTCTCTTTTTTCTTTATTAGTCTAGCTAGTGGTCTCTCAATTTTATTAATTCTTTCAAAGGAATATGGGCCTGAAGTTTTCATTTTCTGTTGTATCTCTGCCAGGTTTTGATGTGTGGGGTGGCACTTAATGCTGTGAACTTTCTTCTTAACATTACTTCAGCTATGTCCCAGAGATTCTGGTATGTTGTATCTTTGTTTTCATTAGTTTCAAGGAATTTCTGGATTTCTGCTTAAATTTCATTGTTTACCCTGAGATCATTCAGGAGAAAATTATTTAATTTCCATGTAATTGTATGGTTTTGAGAGAACTTCTTAGTATTGACTTCCATTTTTTATGCTATGGTCTAAGAGTGTGGTTGGTATAATTTTTTTTTGAACTTCTTCAGAGTTGTTTTATGGCCAATCATATGGTTGATTTGAGAGTATGTGCCATGTGAAAATGAGAAGAATGCTTCTGTATTCTGTTGTTGTTTGATGGAGTATTCTGTAGATGTCTGTTAGGTCCATTTGTCCAAGTGTCAAGTTCAGTTCTCAATTTTATTTTTAGTTTCTGCCTTGACGACCTGCCTAATATTATCAGTGGGGTGTGGAAGTCTCCCACCATTACTGTGTAGTTATCTAATTCTCTTTGTAGGTCTGTAAGAACTTGTTTATGAATCCGGGTGCTCCACTGTTGAGAACATGTATATTTAGGATAGTTAAGTATTCTTATTGAATTACAATGTTTATCATTATGTAATGCCTTTTTTGTATGTTGATTGTTAGTTTAAACTCTGTTTTGTCTGAAATTAGAATAACAACCTCAGCATTTTTTGTTTGTTTGTTTGTTTTCCATCTGCTAGGTATATTTTTCTCTATCACTTTTCTTTGAGCCTATGGATATCATTGCATGGGAGATAGTTCTCACAGAGACAGCAGAGACTTGGGTCATGCTTCTTTATCCAACTTGCCACTCTATGCTTACTTTTAAGGGGGGCATTTAGCCTGTTTATGTTCAAGGGTAATATTGATATGTGTGGGTTCAATCCTGTCATCATGTTGTGAGCTGCATGTTATGAACACTTGATGGTATAGTTGCTTTATAGTGTCAATGGTCTATGTACTGAAGTGTTTTTGTGGTGGCTTGTAATGGTCTTTCATTTCCATATTTAGCACTCCCTTAAGGAACTCTTGTAAGGCAAATCTGGTGGTAATGAATTCCCTTTGCATTTGCTTGCCTGCAAAGATCTTGTTTCACCTTTGCTTATGAAGCACTTCTGGACATAGCCCCTGGCAAAGATTTCATGTTGAAGATGCCAAAAGCAATTGAAACTAAAACAAAAATTGACAAAGGGGACCTAATAAAATGAAAAGAGCTTCTGCACAGCAGAAAAAACTACCAGCAGTGTAAACAATCTAAAGAATGGGAAAAAACATTTGCAAATGATGCATCTGACAAAGGTGTAATATCCAGAATCTGTAAGGAATTTAAACAAATTGAAAAGCAAAAAAACAACCTCATTTAAAAATGGGCAAAGAACATGAACAGGCACTTCTGAGAAGACATACTTTTGGCCAACAAGCATATGAAAAAATACTGTACATCACTAATCATTAGAACAATGCAAATCAAAACCTTGATGAGATCCCATCTCACACCAATCAGAAGGGCTATTGTTAAAAGCCAAAAAATAACATGCTGGCAAGCTTCCAGAGAAAAGGGAACACTTATACACTGCTGGTCACAATGTAAATTAGTTCTGCAACTGTGGAAAGCAGTTTAGAGATTTCTCAAAGTACTTAAAACAGAACTACCATTTGACCCAGCCATTCTATCGCCGAAGATACACCCAAAGGAATATACATTTTTCTACCATGGAGACACTTGTACACATATGTTCATTGCAGCATTATTCACTATAACAAAGACAAGGAATCAACCTAAATGCCTATCAACAGTGGACTGGATAAAGCAAAAATGGTACATCTACACCATGGCATACTACACAGCCATAAAGAAGAACAAGATTGAGGCAGGAAAATAGGATCTGGAGGCAGGGAACATAATGCCAATTCACACTTCAGCTGTGAGAAAAAATATCCTCTCTATAGGGCGTACACCAAGTAAATGACTTTGTAACTTTATTTCATCCTCTCCATTTACATAGGGCCTACACCAAGTAACCAATGGAATCCTCTAGAGAGTATTTAAACTCCCACAAATTCTGTAATGGGGCCCTCGAGCCCCTATGCTTGGGCCTGCTCCTACACTACACTGTGGAGTGTACTTTCATCTTCAATAAATCCTTTCATTCTTTCCCTGCTTTGTTTATGCAGTTTGTCCAATTCTGTGTTTAAGATGCCAAGAAACTGGACACACTCCATCAATAACATATTTCGGCAAGCCAGTCAGGAGAAATTCCAGAAGGTAGGCCCAAAGCTTGGGATTTTTCTCCTTCATCCTTTCCTTTTTGCTCCATACAGGGGAATCTCTCTCTCTTTCTCTCTGTTGCTCTCTCTTTTCCTTTCCAACTTGTGACCCTTGCTGGGCAGTGCCTAAAGAGGAAAACAACTGTAGGTTTCTGGCTGTGGCCAGTGAAACTAAAGGGGTTTCCATGTGGAGGTGCCTAACCCCCATTGCTCAGTTTGCTTAAGGGACCAGGGTCTTTTTTTTTTTTTTTTTTTTCCTTTCTTTCTTTTTCAGTCTTTCACTGGCTGTTTCCTAGTAACTCCTTGGAAATTGAGGGCAATTGGGTGGGGTCACTCCCTGTTATTGCCTGAAGGCCTTGGAATGAATGGGAATAATTTCCCCGCCCAGAATGGGGAAGGACTCTTTATTTTATCTTTTCCACGTTTGGCCCCTGATCCCTACATGTGGCTCAACTGGGAACAAACTCGCACATGTCTCAGGTGACTTAAACCTTCTTTTCCCATGCTAAATTTCCCTTCCCCTATTCAACTGGCTAACGGCAAAAGAAACCCATCCAGCCTCCAGTTCCTATCATTAAAGTTCATGGAATGGGAATCATAAGAAAGTGTGGCCTTACCAAATTGTAAGGATGCTAAAAGTCGGAGATTACGCCCTGGTACCAAAGGACAGCTTACAGTAGGCTCTGGAGGGAAAGCATGCAAAGTGGCACCGGTGCCCACCTAAGGTCAGAGACGTCTGACACTCTAAGATTGAACCCCACAGGAGGATGCTCTGGGGGATCCTCCCAGCCTCCCAAAAGGGGATGCTCTCAGCAGAGGTTCTGAGGTCTAGTACTAAGCCCTCCTTAGAATTTTCTCTCACAGGTGCAATGCTGCTTGGCCCCTACACTGTTCGGAATCTGGAGTTTACTGTCTAATGGGAAAGTGGGATGGTGTTGCATGTACCCAGGCTTTTGTGCTGCTATTCTAAGCAGGAGGCCTGGTTAACATGTGACGCCTTCCTTTGTTACTGTTTGATCCCAGTGTTCTCTGGCGTCTGGGGAGGTTTGGCCTTTAAAAATTAAACTGCCATGGAGACTGCTTACCTAAAAATTTGGCTCAAAGCCTTCATTGGCTTATCTATTTGGGCAAAGTAAAGCCAGCAAGCTTGTATTGCTATCTCATGGCTAAGGTTCCCAGCTACTGGATGTTCATTTATGTGTGTGTATACATGTCTAGATGTGTTTATTTGTATGTACAGTTATTGTTATATGTTGTGTCTAACAAACTGGCTTACAAGTAAAAGAGCGCTCATAAGAAAATAAGTCTAAGCAATTTTCAAGTTCATCTGACTTAAGTATTACTATATGAAACAAGCTAGCTTTACAATTATTGGTGGAACAAAAATAGAAATGCCATCAGAATTGTCAGCATACATTTTGTCTGAATTTTATCTTTGTGTTTGCTAGATATTTAAAATGTCAGTGTTAATTCAAGCTGGGAACAGTGAGGGCAAACCAACCTCCCATTCTATTCAAAGTCATTCCTCTGCTCACTGAGATAAATGCAGGTCTGATTGCTTCCTTTGAGAAGGCTAACCAGAAACTCAAAAGCATGCAACTGTTTGTCTCCCACCTACCTGTGACCTGAAAGCTCCCAAGCCCCCTTCCAACTTCAAATTGTCCCACCTTTCTGCACCAAGTCAATGTTCATTTTACCTATGTTACTTGATGTCTCATGTCTCCCTTGTTAAAAGTGAAAGAATTGAGTATAAATGTTTTAGGTAAACTATTTCTGTAAATTAATATCTTAAAGTTATTTTTGATGCTCATTTAATATCTGGGTCATTTCCAATTAAGAAAGTGTTGTGATATGGAGAAATATGTTTCTAAAAATTGTGGAATTGTTCTTATCTATAAATGCCCATATCTGATAGTTCAGGATTTCTTGCTTTTTAGGGTTTCACTGAAGTTTTAGGTTACTAAGGAAAATAATTCTAGTTAACATGTAATTCTGTATACAAAATGTGCCAGAAAGGGTTGTGTTATTAGTGAAAAAAAAAGAATAATTTTGTTTAATTCAGAAGATATCTAAAAGTTAGTTCAAATTACAGATTTGAAAAGGTTATTTATGAAACAATGTAGTAATCATTAGGGGAGAAAGATGTGGAAAAGTTTAAATAATAAAATATTCTTTAAAACCTGATAGAGAATTGAAGACATTTGGCTAATTAACATTTTCATAGTTAAAGCTCTTAGCTTTGATTAAAGAAAAATAACAAGTATTGTAAAGAAACGCATTGGCAGTTTGGCCATTTAATTTTTTAACATAGTTAAGCATGAAGCTGGATTTAGTGTGGAGCCAAATTTCACATACATGCTTGCATTGTTTCGCACTATGTTTACTGTTTTGCATGGATAGTGCTGGCACTGGAGTACTTAGTGGTCATGTGCCTAAAGTGAATTTCTTCGTTGCATAGGATGTATGGTGATAGTGGTGAACTTGGGGATATTAAATTGTGTATCAGGAAGAAAATATTCATTATGTGGGTTTCGGGGGGCCCTAGGAAACACTGTAGCCTCCTTGGTAAATTGTGTAGGAAATTTTAGGGTTGGTTTCCTGTTTATTTGTTTTTGCTTCTAGTTTTTATTCATTTGCTGTTTATTCTCTTGTGGCTTTACTTGTGTATGCATATATATAAAACAATGATGATTTTTACTTCCTAGTGGAAGGGTTTTATTTGGTTATGTGAATAATTATTTTGTTTTCTATGCATTTCTAGCAAGTCATCATTCATTCCATTTGTCTGGAATTCCTAAGCTACCTTTGCCAGGCCCACAGGAATTAATGGAGCACACCAACTTTCTACCCTTAAACTAACTTTCTGGATTTTAGGCTTCCTGACACTTTAAGCGTGTTGAGTATAATTTTGTAAAAAGAATTTGAGTCATAGTTCTCTCTCTGCCTAATTTCTCCAAAATTTGTAAACTATTTGTGACTTTTCTTAATTTATGGCAATGTGTTTGTTTGCATACAGTCAAGCAGGGTTGCTATTGCAACTCAGGGAGAAAAAAATCATAAACCTGGCATGCCAGCAAAAGGGTAAAAATTTCTCACCAGTCAGACTCTGGCCTCTTTCTCTCTGTGCAAACCAGTTAAATGAAAAGTAAAAGTCACTGTTTATCTCCTCTGTAAAGTCTTAAATTAATTGGTTTAATAATCATAAGAGTTTAAATCAAATATTTTGTCAGAAAAGTAAAAAGTGTCATGCCTTTTAGTTCATGTGACTTTAGTAATCTTTAGGAAATAAACAGTTATAAAGATTATTGGTAAAATACAAATGTCTTCAAAATGTAAACATGTGGTCTAAATTATGTTCAAATATTAGGTTTGCTAAATGCTTTAAGGTCATAAACTGCTTATTTGGCTCTTGAAAATCATTTAACTTGCAGGCTTTACAAATAGGTAAGGCCTGGTGACATGTGGAGTTGGTCACGCCCTTAGCTTTGCTGGAAATAATCAGACCTTATCAGCGCCTAGCACCTAATTAATATAACTTACCAGGTTTTACATTAAAATTAAAATTGCTAAGAGTTGCCATTATAATATGAAATTAAGATTACTATAGGCCAAGGGCAGTGGCTCACGCCTGTAATCCCAGCACTTTGGGAGGCTGAGGCAGGCGGATTATGAGGTCAGGAGTTTGAGACCAGCCTGGCCAGCATAGCGAAACCCCATCTCTACTAAAAATTAAAAAATTAGCCAGGCATGGTGGCACGTGCCTATAGTCCCAGCTACTTGGGAGGCTGAGATAAGAGAATCGCTTGAACCTGGGAGGTGGAGGTTGCAGTGAGCCAAATCGCGCCACTACACTCCAGCTTGGGTGGCAGAGTGAGACTCTGTCTCAAAAAAAAAAAAAAGACTACTAGAAACAGTTTTACATGCATGGTGTAAGAACAGAATTTTTTTCTTTTATTTTTTTATAATAGGTTATAAAAGGTTTTTGCTTCTTTAAAATTTCTGAGTCACCATTTTGGCAAAATAAATAATCTATGGTAATCTGGAATTCCAAAATCAAACTTCAGTTTCAAAATTGTTTTTCCTAATGCCTGGCTTTTTGGATGGATCGGAAGGCCCCTGAAAACATCCAGAAAAGAAATAAACAGAATTATTTGACATGTTTATTTACGTGGGATTGCCAAAATGATGTTCAATCTTCTTTAGGATATATATTTGTGAATAATACTAATACATGTTCCAAAATTGTATGGGATTTTTAAAATCCTAATGTCTAAGTATATGCTATCAATTATAATTATGGTTGTTATGTTAAGTTATTGCAAACCACAGAAATAACCAAATTGCTTTGTATAAAGCTACTAACCCAAGTAGAAAAAAAAACTAATTAAATATCAAGAAAATACTTTGTCAGATTTTTAACATCAAACCAGTTGATACTGAAGTTGTTTAAATATGTCATTTGAATAAACTCCACAGTCTAAGTCAAATTTCCAATGATATCCCATCAGTTAACAGTGCTATGCACGTAATTTGGAAAATAACTGGTATTCAAGAGGATATAAGTCTAATGTTAATCGAGCATGGACTCATGGAGAACCAGGATGGTCGCCCTGTCTTTCTGATTCCTTAAAGCTTTTATTATGAAAAGTTCTGCGTTTCATGACTCATCATGGAAAAGATAAAATAATCCAAATTGAGTACATTGGTGTGGTAACTTACAAATTACTAAAGTATTTTATAATCAATGTTTGATCCCATATTCCTGGGAAAACAATTAAAGCTGCAGGTACATTTGGTCACCTGGTAGGCCACTTAAACATTTTATAAAGAAATTTCATTCAATTGTAATTTTCGATGCACGTTTTCCGGTTGCTTTTCCATGCAAAAGGGCTGATGTTATAACAGTAGATTATTATGCTACAGTGTATTTTCACCAGGTTAAGAAAAGCTTTTTATGGTTCAGATATTCTGAGAACATCAGAGAAATACTGTCCTTGCCATCCACACTACAACGAAACTTTGGGGCCATGAACTTTGGGTTCAAAATCTCGCAACTGAGAAGGGTCCTTCCACACTCTTAGAACTGTACACCCATTGGAACCCTTAAGGTAAAACTAACCAGGGAAATTTATCCCAGGAAGATGCCATCCTTGATGTGAACAGCTTTTCCCAAGTTCACAGATTAAGACTTCTACTATCATGAAACTCTTATCTTTGAATATTTTTCTTGCTTATGCCTCTATGAACAATAGAAGTGAAAAAGGGGTCTGTTATGTGCACTTATTGGGTGTACTTTTATTTGTGAAGGAGTTTGCAGCCAACCTTACACATAGATAAACTTATACTTTGATAGATAAAGTGTAAACGCCCAATGTAGGTAAGAAACTTTAATGGTACATACGTTGCCTCATAATCAGTCAAAAACAAAACATTGGTTCCCTCCTCTTAACCCACAACGTGGGTTAAAGAGAACATTGCCAGGAGGCCTTTACTCTTCTAGAAGGGCATCATTTGTTAGGTCCTTTTTCCATGGTTTAAAGTAAAAGAGGCAATGATTAGAAATGTATTCCCCATGATGGGCTCTTTAGCAAATTCTACTGTAAAGGCTAGTTACACAACAGTCTTTAAATTCTGTTGTGAAAGTTATGATGGAATTGGCTAAACAGAGAAGTATCTGTGCAGCTGCTGGCACTTGTGGCCTATGAAAAAATACATTAAATGAAGATTATAGAAATTCAGTGGTAGGGGATTAACAAAGAGACTGCTTGGTTAAGTGATTAAACTCCTTATCTAGCTCATTCTTTAATCTACTTGACTTTAGGAAGTTTGGCTTATAGGGACCTTGGGTAAGGTGCATACTCCAAACTCTTGGTATTATCCTCCCAGTGGTCATAATAATAGTCTCCCTAGCATGTTGTATTCTCTCAAAGGTTTTAAATGCTTGCATGCAACCATCTCTAGAATGTCATATGGTCTCTCTTCAACTGGAATAACAAGAACTGAAAGAAATGTGCAACCATAAGGACCCCATAACCTATGAATGACACGCTGAGACCAGAAACCCAAAATGATGGTAACTGAGAGTGGTGCTAAGGTCCTAAGTTTTGGTTACACTCTCACCTAAGTGAGAACCTGACCAAAAAGGGGGAATTTTTTTAAGCAAAATTATAGGAGGCCATTGTTTTGGACTGAGCTCAGGCACTAGGCCCCAACAAACAAAACCATACTAAACTGGAGTGACTTATGCTATGATTTTAAGAAAACATGTGGAATCTAGAACACATCACAAACCAGCTTTTGTTTTTTCTCCTGCAAATCTCTATAACAAACATTCTTGACCACATAGGTATACACCCCTGAAATTCCCATTAAATCTTTTAACAAACATCATTCCCTCTCACCTAGAGACCATCAAGCTTCAGATGAGTATGCAACAAAGGCTCCAGCCAGTTCCAGGTGAAGAAACCACCCTGGCCATCAAGGAGCTACCCTGCCTCCACTAGACAGAGCAGGGAGAGAGGTCCGTGATCCCCAGTAGGTAGGTACCATGCCCCAAGCCAGCATGAAGCAGTTACAGTAAAAAGACCATTGGTCCCTCTGACTCCAATAAAAATTTTGGGGGATCACATCTCTCAGGGGGAAAATGAGGCAGGAAAACAGGGTCCGGAGACAGGGAACATATGGTTGATTCACACTTTAGCAGTCACAGGAAATATTCTCTGCATAGGGCATAAGCCATAAATGATTTCGCAACTTTACTTTATCCTTTTCATTTGCGTAGGGCACACACCAGGTAACTAATGGAATCCTCTAGAGGGTATTTAAACTCCCTCAAATTCTGTAACAGAGCTGTTGAGCCCCTATGCTCAAGCCCACTCCCATACTGTGGAGTGTACTTTCATTTTCAATAATCCTTTCATTTCTTCCTGCTTTGTTTGTGTGTTTTGTCCAATTATTTGTTCAAGATGCCAAGAACCTGGACATCCTCCACCGGTAACAAGATCACACTCTTTGCAGTCACATGGATGGACCTGGAGGCAATTATCCTAAGCAAATTAACACAGGAACAGAAAACCAAATATTGCCCATTCTCACTTATAATTGGGAGCCAAACACTGAGCATACATGAACACAAAGAAGGAAACAATAGGCACCTGGGCCTACTTGAGGGGCAAGGGTGGTAAGAGGGCAAAGATTGAAAAACTGCTCATTGGGTACTGTGCTTATTGCCTGGGTGATGGAAAAATCTATACACCTAACCCCCATGACATGAAATTTACCCATATAACAAAACTGTGTATGTAACCCCTGAACCTAAAATAAAAGCTGAAAAGAATAAAATAAAATCACTCATAATTTCTGCAAATAAAAATAAAAACATAGCCAGGCATGGTGGCACGAACCTGTAGTCCTAGCTACTTGGGAGGCTGAGGTGGGAGGATCGCTTGAGCCCAGGAGTTCAAGGCTGCAATGAGTTATGATTGTGCCACCGTTCTCAAGCCTGGGTGACAGAATGAGACCCTGTCTCTAATAAAAAGTTAAAACAAAGTAAGTGATTAATTATCACTGTAGCAATTGGTGCAATTTATTTCCAAAACAAAGACAGAACAAAACCAGAATTCCATGAGGGTGGGCCTATTGTCAGAGATAGATCACAGATCAGAGCACATCATCTCACAGACTGGCTGGAAGAGAAGGAAAAGAAGGGGCTGAACTTTGTTTCTTAGTGAAACTCACCAATCTGATCTGTCATCTTTAGAGAAAGGAGTAAGGAAAGGATGAAGAATAAGATGGGGTTTTTGACCTAGTTTGGTGAACGTCAGATGAAGTGCTCTTTTGAATCACTTAGGAACGCTTAAAAAATGCTCATGCCTGTGTTCCTTTACCAGAGACTCTAGTTTGATTGGCAATAGTTTTATAATAATGATCTATTTTTATCTATCTATTTCTCTGTGGTAAGGTAAAAATAACCTGTTAGGGCAGGTTTTGTGAACCAAATTTAGTATTGCCTACAAATACAGTTTACAAATTTACTATCACATTTAATGCAAAGAATTATAATTGTTCAAATGTTCATTAGGCATTATGATTGTATAATTAACATAATTGAATAAAATTGTGTTACATATGATTTTACATATGTAACACAAGCTAGGTTTTGTCTTGAGATGTCCTGAGATAAGACTTTAACCTGTTGTGTACTCCAGGGATGTCTTTTGTCTCTACTGATGAGGTCATATGTTCCAAGGTCACACTATGGAGTTACCTTTGGCCATTTGGCTGTTTATTAGCATTTCTTCACTTCAAATTAATATAGAAAAGTAAAGAGACACAAAGCAATAAATACAGCAGGAATGTAGGAGGTGGAAAGAAGGAAGGAAAAAACAGGAAAGATGAAAAGAGGGGAGGATAAAGCAAGATGGCAGAAAAGAGACCAATGACAACAGAAATGATCATTGTGAATTGACTGAATTCATAAAAATAATGATTTGCTGAATTTCCTGTTAAAAAGAAAATGAGTTTGTTTTTTACAGAGAAACTGAATTTCAGTAAAACAAAGACAAGCAGAACATGCAAACTTCATATTACAAAACTCATTAATGTGAGCCTTGGCAATATGACATGCTTTGGCCAATGAGAAGTGCATGGATGTGATACTTGTCATGAGGACTAGACGCTTGAATGAGAATGCATAGATTGGCTTAGGCCAGCTTCCTCCTAAACCCCTCCCTGGGAATAGCAGGGACTATTCCATCAGCCTCCACCTAAGGACAAAATGTGGGGCAGAGCCACATTGATATAAGCTAGACAGAGCCAAGCAGAACTGCAGCTGACTCTCAAACCATAAGTAAGATATAGATATTTACTGTTATAAATCACAGTGTTTTAAGAGTATTTGGTGTCATAGCAAAAGCTGGCTAATACTTACATTGGTTAAGATGATTGTTGGCCAGGAGTGGTGGCTCACGCCTGTAATCCCTGCACTTTGGGAGGCCGAGGCAGTCGGATCACGAGGTCAGGAGATCGAGACCATGCTGGCTAACATGGTGAAACCCTGCCTCTACTAAAATAATAATAATAATAATACAAAAAATTAGCTGGGCGTGGTGGTGGGTGCCTGTAGTCCCAGCTACTCGGGAAGCTGAGGCAGGAGAATGGCGTGAACCCGGGAGGTGGAGCTTGCAGTGAGCCGAGACCGTGCCACTGCACTCCAGCCTGGGTGACAGAGCAAGCCTCCAACTCAAAAAAAAAAGAAAAAATTGATTGTTTCTGAATATCTTGGAAATATGGGGGCTATCTTTATAGCAGGGAGAAGGGATACAATGCTGAAATACAAGAGATTTTCTGGTCTACCCCTTAGTACTTCTATTGGCTGTATAATAAAATATTGTAATAATCTAATACGACAACCAGAAGATGAGATCTTGCAGGATGAGAATGACAGGTTTGGGTCATTCTATCTGTTAAAAATAATAATATTGCCTATGGTGATGCTGACTGAAGACAAAGAATGCATAAATACAGAGTGAACAGGGAAATTATACATATCAACTGTGGCATTGTGACCACTTGCAGAAATAAAAACTATAGTATCTACACATACAGGCTTGCATACTTATTATTTTCCCCTTTTCCCTTAGTAATTGACCTAAAATGTAAAAGTGATTTAAAAATGTAAGTATGTCTTTAAGCTACATGGTAACAAAAAAGTATTGTGAGCAAAATAGAAGAATGAACATCATTTCAAGGTGAATACATAGATGTTAGGAATTTTTTTTTCTTCTTTTAGATAAAGAATGTGTCATTTATATGAAAGATAGTTGAGTTATCTTTAGAAGTTTGCTATCTACGCTTTTGTTTGTCATTTAAATATAGGTAGAAGAGTATGTACAAATTCTGATGAACCAAATTTGAGGGTAGTGTTTGTCACATGTGGGTTCCCCAGTAACCAACCCAGAGATGGAGATTAATATGCAAAAGATTTATTAGGTGATGTTCTTAAAGTCAAGGGAAGGGAAGAGAAAAAAAGCAGGGTTGGCCACAGGGAGATACAGAATTGTGCCACAATCTCAGAAGCCTCAGTTGACCTTATAGGGAAGGAATGAGTGAGAAGTTGGCATGAGGAGGCCAAGCCACTAAGCCCTCACGTTTATCCATCAGTGGTTACAGGCTGCCCTGGAAAAGGGGTGTTCTCCTAGGCCAGGCGATGCTCTTCAGCTGCAGCTGTTCCCAAAGACAGCTGATAGCATAGAGTGCTCTGCAATCAGCACTCCAAGCTGCTGGGAGAATAAATCCTTCATTTCTCCAGGAGGGTCTGAATGCCACATCGCAGCATCCACCATGAAGCCTTAGATATTGAAGAACTGTCCAGAATATTGCTCTGTTTTGTTTTGCCAAGCAGCATTCATTATTCTGTTGATTGACCTTCTCTGTGTCACAGAAACTAGAATCCTAGAACTCATATTTCCCAGAATCCATTGTCAGCTGGATCCCAGTTTACCAATGAAAGAAAGATATGGAGTGAGCTGTAGAAGAATGCAAGTAAAGATGATTACTGCCCCTCTGTAAGGCTTTGCAAAATTTTTCTGGGTGTTTTCCTCCAATAGGCAGCCGAGATCATTCATGATGGTTTCCTGGGATTACTGCAGGATTTATGGAAAGCTGACAACTTACCCTAACATTTGCTCTCCCGGCACTTCAACATATTTATAAGCATTATGATTTTCTGTACTAAGATACCTGAAACTATAAAAATTCTACAAGAAAACCTAGGTAATACCTACATTTTTTTTTTTTTTTTGGAAATAAATTGTACCAATTGCTACAGAGATAATTCATCACTTATACTTAGATTTTATTAAAATAAATTGTACCTTCTGTATTATCTAAATTTGAAGTGTTATATATTTAATAATTAAAATAATAAAGTGAAACAAAAACATTGAAGATAGCTCAAAGCTCTGAAAAGAAAACCACAAAATATTTACAACTGTTAAAACATCAGAGAAAATGCCACCTCTAGCCTTTGGCCAATTTTGCTTTGCACTGTAGAATAGCAATAATGAAGTTATGGCAGAGAAAAAAATGTATAATTTTCATCTCATGATTAGATTACATACCTGGGATCTTGTGTTGGTGATTAAATTCAAAAGACAGTGTTAACAGTCAATATCATTCAGAAATATCTCACAAAGTCATAGGATTTTCTGAGCATTTGCTGATAATAAGGATACTTGTAGACAAGTTTGTCCATTTCAATGGAAACTATCAACCCAGATTCCTTTGGATCCCTTTATCATCTCTGTGTACCTCTTCCTTGATTCAGCGTGCTTTCACCTCCAAAGGCTTGCAGGGGCTACTGTACTGAAGAAGAGTGTAGCTCTTGGACTGAGGGCCTGCTTTGTCCACAGGCTAAAAGACCTAGAAGTGCCTAGGAATTTATATCTGTTGCAGCCACCTCTGGGGCTCTTAGCCAATAACTGATTACAATAGGAGTTATGAAACCCCAGCTGCTTGGGTTTCTGGCCATACATCATTGTTGGTGATTGTGAAAGGGGGGTGGTAGAAGTTGGGGGGACAATGTCTCCTCTTGTTACCTTAACTCACCAACCTATTTCTTTCATGGCACTTAACATAATCTGCAATTATCTTGCTTCTTTATTGCTTATGTATTTTATGTTTCAACTAGGAATAAAGGCTACACAAAAACAATTTGCTCCTAATTTTATTCTTCCATTTGTTCATGTAGGCAATTGTTCATTGAGCAGATGTTTACAGAATGCCTACCATGTTCTAGCATTGTTTTATGTCAAGTCTAGATAACAGAAGAACACTTTCAACATAGAAACATTGTCACATTTTACCCACAACGCTGTACTCTCCAATCATTGCTTGAACAAAATGGATCACAACCTATAATTTACTGATAAAACAGTTCATACATAGGTCATACATAAACTCTCTCATGTATAAAAATAGATTTTTGAAATTTTGGGGACTTCCTTTATATCATGTTATATTTCTTAAGGTGCATAAAATAATAGATATAACACATATATTTGTTGAATGAGTAAACATGAGCATACTTAAGTTCTTACCCTCGTGTTAGAATAATAAATTAAATAAATTTACAGGTTTAAAAGCCTTATAGCAATGTCAATGCCCTTATTGGATAGATGAAGAAAATCAAGTCTAGGCATAAGGCTAGTTGACTTAGTCCCTTAATTTAGACCTTTGATGCAGGGAAAGAACTTTTACACTAAAATTTTTATCCTATCTCTTCTGGGTTCTTCTATGAGCTTACTCCGTTATCTTTTTGCTTTCTTATTGATTTTTTCTCTGTCCAAACAATCTGAAACACTAATAAAGAAGAGTAAAAAGCCAGGAGACAGGTAATATCAAGTACTTTAAATGGTTATATTATTTCATGTGAATGCCTACACTATGTTTTACAAATCTCTGGTCTAATTTTTTATTCTAAACCTAAAACTATAGACTGTACACCCCAGGACTTATCTAAATTGCGTGTTTTTCTTGACTTTAAACTACCGTATGCATTTTTCTGGACTTGCTTGTTCTTGGACCATCTATCTTATACTAATAATAGAGTATAACTCACATTCTTGCTAGTTACTAGATGTCAGGGCAGTCTCACTTCCAGATAGAATCTCCTGTTATCTCTTCACTTTTTACCTTTATATTTCAATGTGCAAACGTCTTCCAGTCTTAAAAAACAACAACAACAACAAAATGAAATTAAAATAAAAAACTTGTCACTGTCAAAGTATAATTTTCAAATTTTTAAAACATAATTTTCAAACAAATGAATAGTGAGGATGTGGCAATCTTTTATTTAACTCAATAATGAGAATATGATAGAGACATAAATTCAGTTTAAATGGAAATTTCTAAAAATTGTATTTTATATTCAGTTGTGGAAAAAGAATGTTGAAATAAGAAAGCTAGGTTAGGCACAAAAATGGTAAAGAAAAGAAGAGCCAAGAAAAAAAACCATAACTTTTTGGATTACCTTTATTAAAAAAATTGTACTTTATCAGTTATTTATAAATTTATATATAATTTTATAACTGTCAAATATCAATAATATGACATTACATCAAAAACATTACAAGAAAATCTGTATAATCAATAGTAAATATCAAGTCAAATAAATTTACATCTTCTAGGGTCAGACATATTGGTGTATTTGTTAGACAACAGTATTAGTCTACCCTCACACTGCTATAAATAACTACTTGAGACTGAGTAATATATAAAGAAAAGAGGTTTAATTGACTCACAGTTATGCACGCTGTACAGGAAGCATGGCTAGGAGGCCTCAGGAAACTTACAATCATGGCAGAAGGCACGGGGGAAGCAAGCACCATGTACCATGGCCAAGCAGGAGGAAGAGACAGCAAAGGGGTAAGTGCTGCACACTTTTAAACAACCAGATCTCGTGAGAACTCACTCTCACAAGAATAGCAAAGCGGAAACCTGCCCCCATGATCTAATCACCTCCCACCAGGTCCCTCTTCCAATACATGGGGATTACAATTTGACTTGAGATTTGGATGGGGACACACAGCCAAACGACATCAGCAATGATGAAGATTAAATTAATAAGTAATCTATGTTTTCTTTTCATTTCTAAAATTTGGGTAAGTAGCTCTAAAATTAGTTCTGTTCTTTTTTACTGACAAATTTATCTTGCAAATGTTATATCAATTGCATTTGTTTTGTCAAAACCCATTCACTTGTTAAGAGCATATATTAAGCCAACTTCCTCTAACATAGAGAATAAAGGAAATATTGATATTGATCTCACAGACACCAAATAGAAATACTTTTTGAAAAGTCTTTATTGTTTTTGATGGTTTAACCATTTGGTAGTTTTCATTATTCCTTTCTTGAAAAACTTTCCTTCTGATTTTTTTGTATCATCACACAAACCATTTCTTCTTTTCTCTTTTGTGATTTCTGCTTGACCACTGTTTCTTCTCATTCTGTTTTTATGTTCAGCTACACCCACTGACTCAGCATGTCACAACTTGGTCTCATAATTCAAATTTTTGTTCTCTGTATAAGACTTGCTTTAGAAAACTCACTCACTCTCAACATTTCAAATATTATTTCTATTGAAAACCTATGGTACCTGAATCCTACGTCAGGGGCCAGAGTTTTATTATTAACTGCCACCTGGATATTCTTAGTTGCTATGATTACCTGAAGTTCAGCACATTGAAAGCTAGAACTCGCATTCAGGCTTCACTGGCTGCACACTTGCTGTCTTCCGTTCATTGCGCTGCCATTCTGCCAGCTCCAGGTGTTAAAAATTTTACTGTAAGCATTACCGCTTTTCTTTCCTATTTCCTGCATCCAGCTGTTATATAAAACCTATTAGATAAGCACACAGTTGTTAGTCGGAAATGCCTATTGCATCACTTTTATTCACTCTGCTTATATGTACATTCGTATTTTTCTACCTCCCACCCCACTATGACCTAGCTAGCTGGCTTGTTTTGCTGAAGGCAGACTTATTTCCTCCAATATTGCCAGATTAAATATCTTAAAATATGACTTTCATAATGTGCTCTGCTTAAAAGTTTTCCTAGGCCCCTTCCTGCTGAGATGATAAAATGTGTAGTTGGTGATTTTTAAGGCTATCCATGACTTGGCCCTGACCTACATTTCTGACATTAATTTCCTCTCCTTAAAACACTTTAATTGTCTGTCGATCTGCTGTCCTCATATATCTTTGCCCTCTCTGCCCCAATGACTCAGCTCATGTTTTTCAACGTTCATTCTTAGAATGCTTGGCTTCTTCCTCTACATATGCACATTTAAAAGAAGGCAGACCTACATCAAGAGGACACATCAAGCATTCTATCCTATTTGACAGCTGTATCCATGGCTCAGTCTATGAAGCAAGTAGTTGATAGTTATAAAAATCCTCATTAGACCATTCACTTATTCACAATCTTCAATAGATACTTTGAGGCCAACTTTGGGTGCTGGAAACCCAGTGTGAATGAGAGAAATGATGTCTATACCCGTGTAGGTCTTATAGTAACAATAACAAAATAAAATAAAACAAAATAAAAGCATATTTTCCAAAATTGTATTAACTAAGCTCCATGTATAAAAACAGCAACAAACAGTTTGTTAATAGTGAAAAGGGAGGGGAAATATCTAGGCTGAGATCTGAGGAATATAAGAAACCCAGCCATGCTGATCACCAGGTTAGAACAGATAAAGACCTAAACTAATGGCAGTACTAGAGGTAGAAGGAGGAGATAAATACTAGGATTTTCAATATAATACTGAAAGCAGAGCTTACAGGATTATCTTGTGAGTTGAATTAGAGTGGGTGGTAAAAAAAAAGAAAAGTTTCAAAGATGAATTTCAGGATTTTCCTTGGGAAATAAGCACAATAAAGTGTCATTTAAAAGATACAGGAAAGCCTGAAAGAAGGACTGCTATGTTGGGAAAAATCATCACTCTGTTTTAAAAATTTTTACTTATGTATTCCTATAACATCTAAATGGGAATGAGGATTAGTCAGGCTTCTGTTGGAGTTCCAGGCAGAGATGACAATATGGGAGATGTCAGAATGTAGAAGGCACTTCAAGCAATCAGTCTATATGAGATCAACCAGGGGCTGACAGTCAAGTGAGAACAAGATCCCAAAAATGATCCTAGAGTGCTCCAAAATGTAGAGGAAGAACCAGTAATAAAGAGACTGACAAAGAGTAGCTGGTAAAATAAAAGGAGATAAAGAGGGTGGTGTTGGAATTCGACGGAGAGTTTGCAAGAACGAAGAGTACTGACTTGTTTCAAATGCTGCTGTATCAAGTAAGATGACGAAAAATGTAATATTGATGACTAGAAGTTCCTTGAATAGTTTTCTGACTCCCATCCTCCTTAGTGCCTTTCATGGAGCAGGCATTCAGTAAGGAGTCATTAGCTGTTTCCCCTTGTCACCGCTGCATCATGTTGTCAGGTAAGAATTTATCGTGACAAGTTTTCCAGTAAAAGTACAGTCCTGGCTTACCTCAGGAGTAAATTGGAGGCGCTGCATCCAATTCATGTTCTAAAAGTCTTCAATTAGTATAAATCCTTCAGGTATGATGCCCGCTTCTAAGCCTAAAGTGGCTGTAGCTAAGTGGCTATAGATACTCCTTTCAGTCTATCTTTTATTCATGTAGCTTCAGTCACATTTACAGTTTGAGGAGTGTATTACTTCACAATGCCTCCCAAGAGGAGGAAAAAGTTACTAAATAAATCAGTACACACCTTAAGTGCCAAAGAGTATTCCGTATGAATTTTTTTTTCTTCAGGACTTCTTGTCTGAAACTAATCAACTATTTCTACAGAGAAACAAGAAAAAAATGTGTTTTTCACATTCCCATTCTTTCCACATGAAAATGCTCTATTATCTGATGCTCCCAATAACCCTGAGTAGACAGAAGACTGTGGGTAGCCTAATAAAACTTATTCCCCTAAAAGACTCAGACATATTCTAGTTTCAAGGTCTTATTTTATTATTTCAATATAGTCACTATTTAAAAGTCTGCTTGAGGGATGGACCAAACTTTTTCTTTGCCTGTCTCCTCACAGGCCCAGTGACCTTTATAAATGACAGCAAACCTCTGCTGAATGAAAGATGAAAGGAAAGAGGAAAACATTAAGATATTTTGTCCTACTTTTTTGTGACTTGTTGAAAATAATCATGGGGCCTATTTGTCACTCTGGAGCTTTGTCTCTTTTTCCCAGTAGCCTGTGACAGGCTCAATGAAAAAAGTGCAAGTGAAGATGAATTGGCAGCAGCATCATTTCTGCCCTGTCTCCTGGTCTTTCCAATTTTCCCTCAGATGAAATATATATACAATATCAAGTCAGTTAAGTGAAAGAAACGTCTAGAGGGAGAAGGAGAGTAACCAAGTCCTTTCTCTGGTATAGAAACAGCTATTAAAAATATCTGTCTCATTCAGTTTCAACAGTCCAGTTCTACTCCCCGTATTTATAACTGTAAAATGAAAATGTGTTTTCCCTGGGAAGGAAGAAATGACAGATGGTCCAGGGAGGCAGGGGATGGAGAGGAGATGAAAGGAGGGAACAGGGAACTTAGGCTAAATAAATACTAACAATCATAAACCAAGTTAAGGACAAAATTGTATTCTAGAAGACGTCAGAATGAAATATTTTAAGTTAAATAAAACAATTCACTCGAGAATGGAAAACAGTATGGCCCAGTGATCTTTATAAATGACAGAAAACCTCTGTTTGTAAATGACCTCTGTCTGTAAATGACTTCAAATGATGACATAGGATCATGTCACATGTAACGTAAATTTTCAAGCTGAAGTAAACTTTCAAGGTTCACTGAATCATCTGGCATAAGGATTCCTCATATAGTCACCTTGATGCAGAGTTACTGAGCCACTACCTAAACACACGGAACAGAAAACTTCTTTTTCAAGAGGCTTATCCTTTTGTTGGACACCATTTCCTTCCTTTGGACTAATGTAACTTACATTCCTCAGTCCTAATTTAACTACATTGTGCTACTTAAGATAAGTGAAATTCTTATACCATGTTTATGGTAAGAAATGTCTTCTCAAATTTCAATTTTTCTCTTGGCCAAACGTTCTTGTATTTTTTTGCTTTGGTTTTGTTTTTTTTCATTTTAGCCTATTACTACCTTGCAGAGTGGCTAGGTACTTATCATTGTATTTCACAGGCTTACTAGTTATTTATTGATTCTAAAATATATGCCTAATATTCATAACTCACTTTTTTGTAGGTGCTAGCTGGCTGAGGTATTAAATCAACATAAAACTGCTAAGCCACCCTGCATGGGTCATAGGCCTGTGAAAGGAAGATATGTACATAAAATATAATCCTTGTATTTGCAGGGTGACATATCTATAATCAGAAAGACCAGGCATAAAATTACTTCATATGTCTATTGCCTGCATTAAATAAAACAAACTAAAGGAAGTAAGTGGAAAATACTGGACTTAATTTCTAAACTATGATGTATACAATTAATATTTGTCATCTCTTTATTTGCTGTATTGTTAGTTATTTTTTTGTTTTTTGTTTTTTTTTTCAGGCAGTCATGCTTTCTCACCCAGGCTGGAGTGCAGTGGTACATCTTAGCTCACTGTAACCTCCGTCTTCCAGGTTCAAGTGATTCTCGTGCCTCAGCCTCCCAAGTAGCTGGTACTACAGGCGCATGCCACCATGCCCGGCTATGTTTTGCATTTTTAGTAGAGACGGGTTTCACCATGTTGGCCAGGCTGATCTCAAACTCCTGATCTCAAGTGATTTGCCTGTCTTGGCCTCCCAAATTGCTGGGATTACAGGTGTGAGCCACCACGCCCAGCCGGGAAGTTTTTTTTTTAAAGTAAGTGCTTTTATTGTTTATATTTTTCATGTGATTTCAAGTTTCTGCATTGCAAATCATTTTAACTTCAGAAAGTCAATCATCACATCTGGCAGGGAATATTTTATAATTAACCAGTAATTCAGAAATGCAAAGAAAAAACCTGGTTTTATTCTTCCTTGATGGTTTATTACCAGAAACAAAGTACCAATCAGTAGCAAGATAATAATATATTTCCAATTTTTAAAAAGTAATTCAGATTCCAACAAATAATTGTTGACAGAATCTTGAGAACTAAATGGTGCTACTTAACTGTGTTAATAAAGAGAAAATATCTTAATTCTCCTGTGCACATTTCTCCTTTTTTAATTATTTCTGACCTGTTCTTCTGATGTTTCTATTTACTATCAGTATTATTTACATAGTTAATAAGTGTTTTATAAAACGTACAATAAAAAAGAGCATGAAATTTGGAGCCAGATGAATGAGAATTTGCTTCTCTCCTGTTTCACTTGGTAGCTGTGCAACCCCAGGGAAGTGTATTAGTCCTGACTCTTCAGAGAAACAGAATCTAGAGAATTATTATAAGGAATTGGTTCACATAATTAAGGCTGACAAGTCTCCAGATCTGCAATTGGCTTTCTGAAGAGCTTTTTGTCAGATAGCATCTTCTGGACACTTTCTCCCACTGCTTGCCTGGATGCACATCTGAGGACTGACATCAGAGCCACAGCTATGACCTTGTGCATACCTCTGGACTTGCAACCCCTCAGGCCTTTCTTCTTGAAAGTGTCCCCTGAAAGTGTCTTCTAACATTCAGACTTCCAGAGTCAACTGCAAGCACTCAACAGAAGGAACATAAGGTTCCTTATGGAGAAACGAAGGCTTCCAAAATGGCTTTACACTGTGACCCCTTATCAAGCCCTCAGATGAGCATCCAAGGTAGCCAGGTCACTGTGGTATGGGAGATGTAAAGACTCCGTTGAAGCGGATGGCCCAGCTGAGCCAGGCCATCTCAAGAAACTCCTAGCTTATGAGAAACCCATGAGACTTGAGACACCCGCTCTCACAGAACCAGCTCCTTCTGAAGAAAGAAGCCACCATAGAGGTTAGGCCTCTGCAGAGGCCCCCAGCCTCCATATGGGGCCACGGCACCTGCTAAACTGAGATTTCCATATATAGCTGGACCACAAGAAAGAGCCCAGCCACCACGTGAAACCAGAAGCCAGGTGATCCCATCCTTAAGATCTCATTTAACTTTAATTACCTTCATAAAGGTCCTATCTCCAAATACTGTCACATTGCGGGTTGGAGCTTCAACATGTGAATTTTGGGAGAATATAATAGCAGTTAATTTGTCTTTTTAGACTAACTTTCTTCCCTTATAAAATACCATACTAAAATAAACACTATGAGTACTGAGTATTAAATAAGATGATTTTAAAATTTTCAGGAAAAGAGTACTTATCGAATGGTACCTATTATATCTTATAATTTATTGTGTCACATTTATTACCAAAAATCATATGATAATATTTAACATTTAACCGGGTAATTTAATTTATTTTGAAAGAATGTATTTGTTTCTATGTTTGTTCTGTTTTGTTTTAAAGTTTCTATGGTTCATTTTTTTCCTTCTTTCAGAGCTTGATCAGCATTAAATGTCATTTGTTGAAATTAACTAATTTTATTTTTACATGTTGCTATTCACTAATTACAGCATTTGTTTAGGTGTATAGTATAAAGTAAAATGTTTGCTTCCAAATTGCTAATTAATTTTCCATATTTTTAAGTATTGGTATGGAAAGATACAAACATAATCAAATTACCTTCAGCTGAAGGGAAAAATAGGTGGAAGAACAAGGATAAAAGAAAGTCTTATGGAATTATAACTTACTATTTTAACATTGAAACTAGGTAAATATTTTACTTGTGTCAAAAATTAAACCATATAAGCAATCCCAAAACTGTTGAGGGGAGGGAGACAGTGTATCTAATGTAATAACAATGGTTTTAAATCACGGAGAGAAAAAAATTGCTTAAAGTAAAATATTTTTCTATATATGCCTAGATTAACATAGCCTAATAATACAAATAACTTTAAAAAATCTTAAACACCATTGAATAGTCTTGAGTTAGTAGGCCTTTGCAATAGGTAGGTTGTAGAAAAAAATAATTTTGTTAAAATTGTTAAGAACCAAGGTAATCAGCAAAAGAGAAAAAAGTATGTAAGTATAAAATCAAAGAATTTAAGTGAAACTTGAAACCCTAAATTTGAGGAAGTATCAGAAAAAAATACATCAATGATATTTCTCTTAAAAATATTAATAGCCTACTCTACCAACTGAAAATATTTAGAAGCAAAAAGGTGAGGCTATGCTATCCTGCTATGAAGAAAGCGAAAAAGCATTAAAAGTCTAATCAGGTTATGACAAAAGGACAAAAATAATTTGACAGAGCCCTCTCCCAACATTGGACAATTTAAACAGCAGAAAGAAATAATAATGACTATGCCAAATAGAAATACAAGTATATAAAAGTTCATAACGTAATTATACCAAAAAAATAAATATCATTGGACACCATTGAATTTGCTAGAGCACTGACTCATTGCTTATTTTCCCTTATGTTTTAATGCAGAGTGCCAAATGGTTAATGTAGTAAATTTCTTATTCACACAATTTCTGCAAATAAAGACAGAAGGAGGATCGAGTTACCACTTGAAAATAATACATTACCATTTGAAAATAATATGTAAATAAGTGCTAAAACCATTTATCATGATCTTAATGATGTAATGCTAAAAGATCACCCATAAAGAATTCTTGCCCATATATCAAGCCTATAGCTCTACTATCAGTCTATAGAAATTAATGAGAAAGGAGGAGTAAAATAACTCTATGAGGCAAAAATCAGCAAACTCAAAAGCCTCTCTGATACACTTGGTGATTTAAGTCAACTAGGTATTAGATGATATTAACGAACTACTGTTAATTCCCAAGTGTTCATAATGACATGAATGTTATGTCAAGAGAAAAGTTCTGAGCCATACATGATAACTGTGATTAGCTTTTAAATAATACAGAAAAATGTGTGCACATATATACATACATAAAATAAGGGGAATGTGAAACGGTATTGGCAAAGTTGATAATTGTTGAAGCTAGGTGATGGTAAATGGAAGTTCGTCATACAATTAGCTTTATTTTTACGTGTGTTTGAATTTTTTTAATAAAATGAAAAGAAGCCACATAAAACCAAAATCATTTGTGAACAAAATTTATGAAGAAAAAATAAGCGTAAGAAATTTGTAGAGAAATCAGGATTAGGCAGAGAAATTGGTAAAATATTATTGTCTCTAAATATTTCCAGTTCCAGTCTTTATGACATTAGAATTTATTCTTTTCTTTCTCAAAGGTCTGTTACTGCTTTTTCAACCAAACAAGCCTAACTTAAATGCTATTTCAAAAGAACAAAAATGCTGGTGAATAATAACTAAAAATAGATTAAAACCTTATTACTAATTAAGATTCAAATGAAACCTATAGCTAGTATCATACTTAATGGGAAAAAACTAAAAGCTTTTCCTCTAAGATCTGAAACAAAACAAAGATGTCCACTTTCACCACTGTTATGCAACACAGCACTAGAAATCCTAGCTAAAGCAACCAGACAAGAAAAAGAAATAAAGGGCATCCAAATTGGAAGGGGAGAAGTCAAATTAATCTTACTTGGAAATGATATAATTTTATAGATATAAAAGCCTAAATGTTCCACCAAAAATCCTATTAGAACTGATAAACAAATTCAATAAAGTTGCAGATACAAAATCAACATATAAAAATCAATAGCATTTCTATATGCCAACAGTGAACAATCTTAAAAAAGAACCCAAAAAGGAACCTCATTTACTATAGCTACAAATGAAATAAAATACCTAGGAATAAATAACTGAAAATACAGAAGATCCTTATAATGAAAAGTATAAAACAATTAATAAACGAAATCGAAAAGGACACAAAAATGGAAAGATATTCCATGTTCATGAATTAGAATAACTTATATTGTTAAAATGTCCATACTACACAAAGCAATTTTTGAGATTGCTTTAATGCACTCCCTATCAAAATATCAATAATATTCTTCACAGATATTGAGAAAATAACCCCAAATATTCATGTGAAACCACAATAGACCCAGAATAGCCAAAGTAATCTTGAGCAAAAAGAACAAAGCTAGAGGCATCACAGTACCTGACTTCATATTATATTACAACACTATAGTAACCAAAACAGCATGGCATCGGAATAAAAACAGATATATAGGACAATGGAACAGAACAGAGAACCCAGAAATAAATCTGCACATTTACAGCCAACTCATTTTTCGCAAAAGTACCAATAACATACATTGAGAAAAGTACAGTCTCTTGTACAAATGGGGCTGAGAAAACTGAATATCTATACACAGAAGGATAAAACTTGACCCTTATCTCTTACCATATAGGAAAATAAAATCAAAGTGAATTAAAGATTTAAATATAAGTCCTGAAACTATAAAACTACTAGGAGAAAACATTCAGGAAACAAGACATTAGACTTAGCAAAGACTTCTCAAGTAAGACCTCAAAAGTAAAGGCCAGAAAAGCAAAAGTGAACAAATGGAATCAGATCAAGCTCAAAAGTATTGCACAGCAAGGGAAACAATCAAAAAAATGAAGAGACAACCTGCAGAATGGGAGAAAATATTTGCAAACTACTCAACTGAGTAGTAGCCAAACAAGAGCTCAAACAACTCAATATCAAAAAACCCATGAACAACCAATTAAAAATGGGCAAAAGATCTGAATATTTTTCAAAAGAAGATATACAAATGGCCAACAGGTATATGAAAAAATTCTCAACTAGTCATCAGAGAATCACAAATCAAATCCACCATGAGAGATCATCTCAGCCAGTTAAAATGGCTTTCATCAAAAAGATTAAAAGAAACTGATACTGATGAGGACATGGAGAAAGGAAAATGCTCACACACTGTTGGTGGGAATGTAAATTAGCTCAGCCACTATGGAAAACAATATGGAGATTCCCCAAAAAGCTAAAAATAGAACTACCATATGATTCCGCAATCCCACGGCTAGGTATGTATCCAAAAGAAAAGACATCAGTATATCAAAGTGATATTTGAACTCCCATATTCATTACGGCACTATTCACAATAGCCATGATATGGAATCAACCTCATTTTTCATCAGTGGATGAATTAATGCATAAGGAAAATGTGGTACATATATCCAACGGAATGTTATTCAGCCACAAATAAGAATAAAATCTTGTCATTTGCAACAAAATAGATGGAAACTAGAGGACATTATGTTAAGCCAAACAAGCCAGGCACAGAAAGACAAATAACACATATTCTCATTCACAAGTGATAGCTAGAAAAATTAATCTCATGGAAATATAGAGTAAAATAATGGTTCCCCAAGGCCAGGAAGGGTAATGGGGAAAGGGGGACAAAAATAGGTTGGTTAATGGGTACAAAAATATAGTTTGAGGGAATAATATTGGGTATACAATAGGGTGCCTAAATCAACTATAATGTATTGTATATCTTAAAATAATTAGAAGAGTGAAATTGGAACATTCCTAACACAAACAAATGATAAATACTTAAGGTGATGTATATCCCAATTACTCTGATTTGATCATTACATGTTGCATGCTTATATAAAAATATCACATGTACCCCATAATATGTACAACTATTACGTATCCATATAAATTAAAAATAAAAATTTTTAAATGAGAGAAAAATGAACATAAAGCTTTATTTCCTTATAGAATAATCAGAAAACTTCAAAAACATTATTAGATTCATATATGTAAGATAAAAAATAAGTGACACATATTTATTAAAATATATATTATATTAAAATAACACATTTATAATTATGCATTTTCATATAATATATTAAAATAATATATATTTTAATAAGATAATCAAATATTTATTAAAATATATGTTACACTAAATAATATAAATATAATGTTTTATATATATGCATAATTTATTCTTTATATTAAAATGTATTTCATGTAACTCTGGTAAGGGCAGATACTAACCCTTTTCTGTTCAGTGGCCCCCAGGGCTCTCATTTGTAGGTCATCTAGCAAAGAGTAAGCTCAGGCAAACTGGCTCAACAGAAGAGCTTCAAGGTGTTTAACGAAAATTTCAACTTTCCTTTGAATAATAAGGTCATTTTCTGGCAAGTGTATTTGTTTTCTAGGGATGCTATAACAAACTACCCCATATGGGGTGGCTTAAAAACAGAAATTTATTTTCTCACACTTCTGGAGGCCAGAAGTACAAGATCAAAATGTCAGCAGGTTTGGTTTCTCCTGAGGCCTCTCTCTTTGGCCTGTAGACAGCTACTTTCTCCTTGTATATCTTCTCAAAGCCTTTTCTTTGTTTCTCTTCTTATGACACAGTGACATCAAATTAGGGCCCACCCTAATGATCTTATTTGACCTCAATTACCCCTTTAAAGCCTTTATCTCTAAATATAGTCATATTCTAAGGTACCAGAGGTCAGGATTTCAACATACGAATTTTGGGGAGACACGATCAGCCCATAACAACTAGAAAACTCTCACTTTGCATAGTTAGGCATTTGCTTCCTTTTCCCTAAAATTCTATAAATATGAAAAGCTGATAAGTGACAGATTCTCTTCTGAAACTTAGAACGTATCTAGCATTTCTGGGTCCAAAAATGCATATTGCAGGGGTAATGAGATGAAAGATCATACTCATACTTTAATGCTGAATCTTTCCTTGAGAATTTTCCTCCTTGTCTCAGTCTGTTCCTGCTGCTATCATAAAATACCTTCTTTATAAAGAATAGAAATTTCTTTCTCCTGGTCTGGAGACTGGGAAGTCCACTATGGAGGCACTGGCTGGTTTGGCATCTGGCGAAGGCTCACCCATGCTCTTCTTCCAAGATGACGCTTTGTTGCTCCATCCTCACATGGTGGAAGGCAGAAGGGCAAAATGGAGTAGGGCACTCACTCCCTTCAACCTTTCTTTATCATAGCACTAATCTCATTCATGAGGGCAGAGCACTCATGACCATCACTTCCCAAAGGCCCCACCTCTCAGTACTGTCACATTTGGTATTGGATCATCTCCCTCTGTGTTTTCTTTCTGGCCTTAGCCTCTGTGCCAGCCGGTGGGAGCCTCCTGCTAGGACTCAGGGGAAAATTCAACTTTGCTAATAGGCACCCCAGGCTCCATGCTGATGTCAGCATGTGGTGTGGGCATGGTTGTGGGGAGGAAGCTTGGATTGCAAGAGCAGGAGATGCCCTTGCCCCTCCTCTCTGGTGACTCGGGGACACAGTGCCCTTCCCTAGGGAACAGACTTCAAACCCAGCTAAGACAGGGCCCCTGTTTACTCAGCAGAGTAGGCAAGAAAGTAACAGCTAGGTAGTGCCACACAACACTGCCTCATAAATCATTAGCCGTGTATGAGCTAGAACCACCAGAGAGACATGGGCCAAAATGGCTGCCGCCTCCACTCCTCTTGCCCCCAAGACTGAGGATGGGAGACCTGTAATGTAGCTGTCCCAGAGCTTCCTCAGGTGTCTCCACCCAGAGGCCCTTGCCTGGCAAACCAGCTGGGCTGCTTTGGCTAAGCCAACCACCCCTGGAGTGAAGAAAGGAATGAACTAGTTGAGTGCTTTTAGGGGGCCTTAGTCCCAGTTCTTGACACAGGTAGATGTCAGCTTAAGCCCAAGCAGCTTTATGTTTTTATCTAGGACGAGCTAGAACTGTCCATTGCTAACCAGCCTCCTTATGTGGAACAATGAAGTCACAGCATTGCTGACTCTGCACCTGTTCCTCTTCCCAGGCTGTTCCCTTGGAAACGGCAACCAGACTTTGGGCCACTTGCACCTCTTCTCTCACTCCAGGAATACTGAGACTAAGATCAACACCAGCCTGCTCCCACTTTATTCTTGAAAAAAAAAATTGAAAGACACATATGGAGAGACACGTATGTTCAAACAATAACAATCCTCTACGTTTTGCTATAAACCATGTTCTTCGTACAATCTGTACACTCTGAAGAGTTCTTCCAGTAGTTCTTCGTACAATCTGTATACTCTGAAGAGTATAAAATAAAAATGTTAGACCAGCTAGAACTATGATCCAAATATCTACCTGCAAAATAGAAAAATAATATTACTTGTATATTATTACAAATGAACATGTGTATTCATTCAATATTTATTGAGTGTCTATTACATGCCAAGTGCTGAGCATGGAGCTAGTGATACAATGTGAGAGAATCTTCCTTAATGGAGAATCTTCCCTCCCAATCTAGGGAAGAACACACAAATCAATGATTACTATGTAGTGTGATAAATAATTACAGAGAACAGTGGTCATACAATGGTGGGGCATCCAAATCAGGCAAGCAATTAATAGAAAATAGGAATATGAATGAAGAAAGCTGTTTCAGGGAAAATAAAAAACCATTTAGAAGTCAAAAAAGAGTAAGATGCATCTGGGGAATATGAATAATTCGGTATGACCAAAGCAAATATTCATGTGTGGAGTGACAATGAATGAAGTAAAGGAAGCAGGCAGGGTTAGATAAGTCACTTAAAGGTTAGATGTTTTCACCAGCATTGCTAGAACCACTAAAGGATTTGAAACAAGGAATTGGAACGATTGGATTTGCATTTTAGAAGAGTGTTAATAGATGAGTACACTGCAATCCTGTAGGTAAAAGATCAAGTGGTTTATGATTATTCAGCTACTATTGGGGCTAGATAGCAGAGGACAGGCACAGGAGATCACAGTGCTTGAGACTATACAGGTTCTGATGAATGATTGGATGTTGGGGCTGAGTGAAGTGGAAATAACAAGGATACAGCCCAGATTACTGGTCCAAAACACCAAGAGAGGGAATAAATTGGAAGGATTAGATCTGGAGAGTAAAGGATCAGATGTGGAGACTTTAAAAGGAATGAGTTCAATTTTGGGTGTAGTGATTTGAAATACTTTGGGGTCACCCAAGTGGGTGCACTTAGAAAAGCAATTGGACATATTGGCCTGGATTAGAGGTACACATTTGCAAGCATTTGGTACTATATTCTGGATAATTTCTTCTGGTCAAGGTTTTAACGATCAAATCACCCATTCAATCTGCCATTAAACCTGTCCAGCAAGTATTTAATTTTGGTTATTATTGCATCTTTAATTGATAGGTGTTTTATTTCTTTTCCAAATATAACTTGTCATCTTTATAGTTTTCATTTTCCTGCAGATAACTTTGAATGTGTATTTTATTTTTTAACGCATCAAGCATAATTGTTTTATAATCTATACCTGATGGCACTGATATCTGAAAACTTAGTGGACCTATTCTGCTGTCTTGTTTCTATAGGGTCTCACTCATGAAGCTTTGATTGATTGTGTGCTTGTTTGACAGTGATCTTTGACACTGTGCAGCTCAGTGTATTTGAAAAATTATATATAGGAATAATGTAAGGTCTAGGATAAAGAAAATATCTTCAGAGAGGTTTTATATGTATTTCTGTGAAATACATGAGTGAGTGTGCTGGGGTCTCAAATTCTGACTTGAGATTCCATGACCTACCCAGACAAGGCAAACTGCAGCTGCCAGTCCACATAGTGCTGATTTATTTCTGGTTCAACCCTGTGAGTTCCCAGGTGTTAGTGGGGGATGTCTCTATTAGATTCCCATCTTATATGGACCCTTTGTCTTGGTTTATACATCCTATTCTGGATAAAGACATTGCATAAATGTTTAATGTTCTTAATAGAATAACAGTTTTTGTGCTCTGCTTACCTTTTTGAACTCCTGTTTTGTTTTTGCCTCAAATCTTCTGTGAGAATTATGATCCTCAGGACTTTGACTATAATGTCTTCAAGACTTTGATTATTTAAGAAAGGCAATTTTTATTATTTTGGGCACTTTTATAGGCTTTCAGTGGAATACACTAGCTAATCTGAATCATCTAGCCCACTATTACTGGAAACTAGAATCCTCAGTTTGCAAATATTTAACAGGTAAATATATATTAAAGTTATGGGTCTAAATAAGGCAAATATATAGAGTAAAAATATTTAAAGATTTCTGAACAAATCTTTGAAAATGTCAAAATGTTAGGTAGACAAATCCAGGAGAGTAAGATAAACCAGTAAAAGATCTGAAATAAAACCAGAATAAAACAGTATCAGAGGAGGTAAGAGGAAAGCTGGGTGTGTGAATGAGAGAATATGCAATACCAAATGTAGCAGAAACAATAAATAATGCAGAAAAATAATTAATGGATTCATCCATGTGAAAGCATTAGCGATTTCAGCGATAGCACTTTCAAAGTAGCGGAAGAGACAGAAGCGAAGTCAGCATTACTGCGGATGGGGAATCTCCATCCGCACTGAGAGTGCACAGTGAGCTCTCAACATGTTTTCAAGAAGCTTTAAAGGAGAGGGGAGGAAAGAGAGGACAGCGTAGTCCAGAGTGAGCTTTTGATTGTTTGTTTTATAGTGAGAGGTGCTCACAAATAAGCATATGCTTTGGAAATACACAAACCACTAGAGAAAATGTTGTTTAAGACATATGAAAGACAGAAGATGTATTGGCAGAATTTTGATAAATCTAAGTGGATGAAACACACTTAAAGTTACTTTATAAACAAAGAAATTTATTGCTTCATATAAATAAGGTGCGAGATCTAGGGCTCAAATGTTATCATCAGTCTCCACCACTCCATCTCTCAGCGAAGCTATCTCCATAAGGTGAGAACGTAAGCCAGCGACAAGACACACATCTTTCTAACCTCTTATTTTCAGGTCCTATGAATATCTCTCAGTATCTCTTTCAGAAGAATTCAGAGAAGACAATAGTATCAGGAACCACTGGTTTATATGCAAACGGCTTTTATCCTGGCCGAGGAGATGAAGTATATTAATTAATCATGCTTCTATGCATCTCTCTGTAACATGAAGTCCTAAGTCAATCCCAGTAGGAAAGAATGAGAGGAAAATACTACTGTGGCAAAAACTACAAATATTGAGCTAAGTGGTAAATAGATGGAACAAGCTGTTCAAGTGAGCAGATAGCAATAGATTTTTAAAGAAAGGTTGAGAATTATAATTCTATTCTCATTAAAGGGTTAGTTATGGTTGTTGAGGATGTGACAGTGTTTTATGAAACATAATAGACAATCTGCTTTTGAAAAAATACAAAATATCTAGGAGTCCAGCATTAAACATTCTAAAGATCCCTAATAATATAGGAAAAAATACCATTCAATATAATAAGATGAAAAATGTCCCAAGGCAGCAGGTGAAACCAAATGTTCTATAAAAATATAGAGGGAGAAATGCTTATAGACTGGACCAATCTAGGGGAGTTTCACAGAAAAGACAAGAAAAAAAGCAGATAAAACCAAGGAGAAGGGAAAGGAGTGAGGGTAAAGCACAGAAAGAGAATCAAGGAAGGATTTGGGATGTGCTTTGATTGGTGATGGTCAGGCGATGGTCCAAAGGTATTAGTGAACTTTGGACAGAAAACACAAAGCAGATAACAGATTTTCATAAAATCACCAATCTCTTAATAAAACTAAGGGGAAAGGCATCTTCTTATTATACAAAGAGGAAATATGATATATGGGTACGGTATTACCCCTAATGCTTAGCTGCTGTTTTAATGAATATGGGGTAGCTTGGGCTGCAGAGAAGACACTAGGAGGATGAAAAAGTCTGGCATAGCATATGTGGAAAACTAAGGTAATTTTGATATATAACCCCTTCAATCTTGCCAGAGGATAGCTGCTTTAGAGAATTAGTGTAGATTCTTAGCTTTATGATTTCTAAATTTGCACATGTAGTACCCAGTTACTGCTTAATCAAGTTTACATCATTGGGTTCACAGAAGGACTTGTATTTGCTCGTAAAACACATGAAAAGAAACTCAGCCTACTAATGATCAACTAAACTGTAAATTAAAGCAATAATAGTTCATCTTTTTCTCAAGATGGGAAAGAGTTCAAAGATTATAGTATGTAGTGATGGATAGGACAGTGGAAAATATGGAATGTTATGCATGCTTTGTAAGAAAATAAACCTCACAACATTTTGAATTATAATAGGCAAGATACTCAACATTTTCAATATGTAATTTTTTGATCTTCTGTTCTATTTCTAGAAACTATCCTATAGAATCAAAATCAAATATACAAAAATGTAAAGAAAAGGATGTTGATTGTTTGTAACTTTGCAATATTGGAAATATCAATCAGAGATGGGCTAAATATATTTTATTTAAATATAATAAAAAACTATAACTTTTAAACAGAATAAAATATATTTATATGTATTCACATATCTACTATACACAAATTTTTGGGTTAAAGAAGCAAATAGAAACAATAGGTATAGCAGATTTTCATGTATATATAAATAAATAGATTTCATTAAACTTACAATTAACTAGAAAAATAAAATAATTAACAGTGACTCACAGATTGAGTGTTAGAGACAAATTTCCCTTTTCATACCAGTGACTGCTGAAAATTTTTATATTAAGTAGGTGTTAATTTAACAACATAATACAAATGAAATATTTTTATGTTATAGCAAAATTTTTAAATGTTTATAGAAAAACAGAGAAATTTAAGCCATTAAAAAGGAAGAATTGAAAGGATTCAGTAACAATTGAGTATAAAGTAGAATAAAAAGCAAAGAGACTCTCATACAAATTCAGTTTTAATAGGGTTGAATGGTGGTGTCAATGACATTAAAAAGATAAGAAAATAAGTTGAGAAATCCATTTTTGATATACTACTGTATTTTCCAGTTGCAACGCGTATCTCACTTTAACTACTTTAATACGTGTTCTTCAATGATATACTTTTATTTTCTAATCTCCTTGTAAGAAGTCTAACAGTAAACACCTGGTAAATTTTTACTGAATTAATAAATAAATTAAGTAGTGCTTTTCAGTTGAAGTTTTAAAAAGACATTAATGGAAGTGTCTTAAAAGCAGATAAGGGATATGCTTAAAAACCAGATGAAAATGTAAGACTCGGAGGAGAAATTTGGGAGGAATCATTCTAAAGTCGTTGGAGTAAATGGGCAGCTTGGAAAGATGGTTCAAGTGGACAGAATAAGGCAGAGAAGATTTTTTTTTTTTTTTTAAAGAAAGCAATGAATGTGTGCTTACACTAGAAGGGAAAAACTAAGACAGGGCCAGCTCTCTTAGCTTCAGGAAAGTTTTAAGAAAAAAGAGTGTCTCCTAGATGAATTAACACAGCAACAGAAAACCAAAATACTGCACGTTTTCACTTATAAGTGGGAGCTAAATATTGGATACTCATTCACATAAAGATGGCAACAATAGACACTGAGGACTACTAAAAGGGGCAGGGAAGAAGAAGGGAAACGTTTGAAAAACTAACTGTTGGGGACTATCCTCACTACTTAGGTAATGAGATCAATCACACCCCAAACCTCAGCATCACACGATATACCCGTGTAACAAACTGGCACACACATGTACCCACTGAATCTAAAATAAAAGTTGAAATTACAAAAATTAAAAAAAAAAGAGTTCCTGAAGTTTGTCCAAAGAAGATGCTGTTTATGGTCTACCTTATCAAATACTCATTGATTCCTAAAAATATCATGTCAATCCATGGATTTTATTTAAAAACATTCAGATAAGGCAATCTGACTAACTATCCTTTGATCTCCAGAGGAAAAAAAATCATTAAAAAATTACTATCTACCATGAATAAAGTATTTTGTTGTGTTTTTTTTTAAGCAGAGTAATTTTTAAAAATTGTCTTAATATACAATACAGCAAACAACCTGGAAGCCTAATACAACTTTTGTCAAGGATATCTTTGTTGGACTTTGAAAAAGTTTCTATCAAACTAGAATAAACTCTTTGTTAAAATTTGCCAGAATTCGGCCGGGGCCAGTGGCTCACACCTGTAATCCCAGCACTTTGGGAGGCCAAGGCGGGCGGATCACGAGGTCAAGAGATCGAGACTACCCTGGCTAACGCAGTGAAACCCCGTCTCTATTAAAAATACAAAAAATTAGCCGGGCGTGGTGGTGGGCACCTGTAGTCCCAGCTACCCAGGAGGCTGAGACAGGAGAATGGCGTGAACCCTGGAGGCAGAGCTTGCAGTGAGCCGAGATCGCACCACTGCACTCCAGCCTGGGCGACAGAGCAAGACTCCGTCTCAAAAAAAAAAAAAAAAAAAAATTGCCAGAATTCACCAGAGCAACCATATGGACCTGGAATTCTTTTCATGGAAAACTTACAAATGTGTAATTCAATTTCTTTCTCAAAGTTTCCATTTCCTCTTGTACCAGTTTTAGTAAGATGTGTATTTCAAGAATTTTTTGAACGGCATTCAATCTTTGAATTTATTGGCCTAAAACTTTTCATGATATGCCTTATTCATCCTTAAAGTCAGCTGGCCAAGTAGTAATAACCCCTCTATCATTCCTGATCTTCAGAATTTGTGAAATAACACCCAAATAGGTTAATCTTGCTAGGGACTTATCAGTTTTATTAATCACTTCACATGATTAAATTTTATTGATGAAAAACTGAATTTGAAATATCAAAATGAAAGTTTCATTAGGGGCATGCCCAACCTGTCACCAAGACTCATACAAAATGGGCAAGTATTCTCAAAGAGGAAGGAGATTTAGACGCTAATAAACCAAAATCTTTTCCAAATTAAAATTACGTCACAATCAATCTCACTGGCAGCTCACCATTTATTTATATTCAACAAATATTTTTGAAAAACTATTATATTCTAGATATTGTTCTAGTATCCGCATACACCCTTCTTCAGTAATAAAAAAGTCAAAATCTCCTAATTAACTTAGTGCAACTCTGTATAATGTAGCCCCAAACACACTCCTATTTTCTCCTCAAAAAGACAATTCAAGTTTTTATCTTTTAATTATCAGCTGCAAGTTAAGAATATTTAAATGATGTCTTTTTTTCCTTTTGCTTCTTTTGTAATTCTGCCTCGATAATCAGCTATTTGTAGACCAAAATTTATAATTAATCTCCACAAACAAATTCTATATGCAATAATACTGGGAAAGAAAAATAAAGAAAATGAAAGTTAACTTTAAAACATATCTATATTCATGTTACAGAGAAGAATAAAATACTAATAGATAGTATATTACTTTTTGGGAGCAGCTAGTGGCAAGACTATAGCTGATATTTAAAATTTATAATTGCTTTCCATTTTATTTTTGGTATGCTTTAAGCTAGCACCACAGAAATTGGAAATTCTCTTCCAGATGGGATGGTAATATTTTTTTCTGAGAAATATGAGCTCGTATTAGTCCTACCTATACAGGTTTACAGTTGTCTTATATGTAACTTCTGGACATAAGACATCTTCTCAGTTCCAATCTTGCTCCTCCCTGCCCCTACTGTGTTACTTTATCTTTCTCCACTAAAGTCACAATTAATAACCCAGCAAGATCGCTGACCCCTTTCTTTGTCCACATCATTTGGACCTTAAAATACTTGGGAAACAATTACAACCTTCAATCCAAAGACGGAAAATTGGGTCATCTATTAGAAGCATTCATTCCTTGGATAATACCATTTCTAACCATCAATCCCGAGGAGTGTGGAACTAGAAAGTAAAAACCGTTTAGAAATAATAGTGAGAGGACGACACTCAATTTTACCTCTTGACTTTTCAGTCCTAGGTGGCTTAGCTTTGTAGGAAATAGTACTGGATATTAATGAGTAGCTTAGAAAATACACTGCCTTCTGCAGAGCAGCTACTGCTTGTAAAAGCTCCAGGGGTTCTCCCCATTTTGTCATTATAAGAGTGTCATGAGGAGGTACCCTCATTGTTCTGTGGGGCCCACTGTTTCTGTGAGATGAGATACTTTTAAGAACACTATTTGTTCATTGCCCTTTTTCCTGTTCCATAAAGTTCCTTGATCAGATATAAATTTGATGATCCATAGAGCAGGTCATCTTACTCACCTGGTAATAAAAGCTTCTTCTATATAAATGACTAACAACAGAGGACACATTTTCTGAATTTATCCCAGAGGTTTGTATGCATATATATTACCAAAACCTCATTTTAGCAATTCTCCAAATAAATAGGCTATCTCTTCTATTAAATAGACCATGAATTAATATATACCATTAGCTCAGCCCATCTCTTGTCTGTACCAAGGTAGATAAGATTCTCTAGTATAAGATCTATTAAGAGGATTCCTTTTTCTACAGTTCTTAGGTGTCACATGGTCTGAGATTGCAGGGTTTCATTTTTAAATGGTATCAGCATATTGTGCAAACCAAACTCAGAATTATTTCCTTCTTAGTCAACTAGTAATAGGAAGCATCACATAAAACCATGAAAAAGGAATATATGACAAGGTAGCAAGATGGTATTTTGGGATTATAAACTATCTACGCATGAAACGTACATGTGATTTTAGGATATGTTCAGTGGCACATATACAACTTTCACTAACTCTTGGAAGAATCAAACCAATTTTGTGGCTAGATTGGTTACATAATGTCCAGCTCTTAATGGATATGTCAGGTTTAACGGTCTCCTATGTGTGCCATTGTCAGGTACCATCTGTCAAGATCAACAGTTATTTCCCGGAGGCAAACAGAGAACTTGTCTTTGCTCTGAATGCCAGGAAGCCAGTGTTGTGATTCCCCTACCAAGGTTTTCCACCCACCCTGGGGTAGAAATTAATTTATCTGTTTCTTTTGTATATTTTAATGTGTATACTAGGATTAAAATTACATATGTGACTTGCACTGAAATTCTGTCAGACAGCTCTGGTCTATAGGTTTTCCGTCCATAAAATGACTGAAGTGGATTCTAAGAAAATAATAATTTTTTAGAACTAATGTCACCAAAATGATTGGTCATTGTCCTTTTTTCAGTTAGTAGTTACTCTGATAAAGCCAGATTCTTTTACAGAAAATCAGGAGGAAGATTTTAAGCTACAGCTGGGAAGTTAATGTAGAGTCCTTCCTCAAGAGCTCTTGCTTGGCCGTGCACCAGGACTCATGCCCCAGCACTTTGGGAGGCTGAGGTGGGCGAAGCCCTTGAACCCAAGAGTTCCAGACCAGCCTGGGTAACATAGTGAGACCCTGTCTCTACCAAAAATTAAGAAAAAAAAAATAACCAGGCATGGTGGCACACACCTGTAGTCCCAGCTACTCTAGAGGCTGAGGTCAGAGAATCACTTGAGCCTGGAAGTTCAGGGCTGTAGTGAGCCATGATCACGTCACTGTAATCCAGCCTAGTTCAGCCTAGGAAACAGAGCAAGTCTTTCTCAAAAAAAAAAAAAAAAAAAAAAAAAAAAAAAAAAAAAAAAAACCAACAACAACAACAACAAAAAAAAAAACCAACCAACAAAAAGCTCTTGTTCTGGGTAGAAAGATGCAGCACTCTCTCGCGGTGTTAAACTGCTATTTAACTATACTACCTTAGGATCTTGCCATCTCTACTTAAATTCAGAGCCCATTTTAACTAAAAAATCTTTCATTAGTGTCACCAATCTAGAGATTTCTGAATTATTTTTAAGTCCAATACATCCTTCTCTAACTTATATCAAGGATGTGTTCACAAATCACCATCGTTCAAAAAATGTTAGTCTAGCTTTCATTAATCAGGCAAAAGACATCATAGAATTATAAATTAAATTCCTCCAAAAATTCTGATAAGTGAATTAATGTCAATACATTAAATCAAATCTAAATTCACCTTCCTCCCTACATGATAAAACATCCCAGGGCACATTTTCCCTGTGTTCTCCATTTCTCCCCTGTACCCCATCCCCTTAAATGAGCAAAATCCTGACATCCTTTGGTAAGCCTTCTCCCTACATGTTTGACTTCATAATTGGTCTCCCACACATACTGGAATTGGATTCTAATTATAGCCGTGGAGATAATGAGGAGTGATGGAGAAAGGACATGAGGAAAATTAACTTCCTCTTGAAAGGTAAACTGCTCTGACAAGACAGTGACAGTGTCTTTCTTCAAACAAGGGAGAAAAATAATTATCAGAAACAGGAGAGGAGGCCATGAGGTCAGCAAGAAGGCTCAGCATGGTGTGATTCCAGCTATTCCAAGACACTTCTGTATCATCACACAAAGGCCCCAAGGTTTCTGAAATCTTTCCTGGATTTAATTCTTCTCCACTTCATCTCTCCCCAAAAATAAGAAAATGTAAAGAATTCAAATCTGTGCTACACCTCCTGACATAACCCAACCCAATTCATTACACAGAGACATTCTGTGAAAACCATCAAGAGCTAAAAATTCCTAGGTCATTAACTTGTTTAATATAGATAAATGCATAAAAATGTATAAAATTGCATAACTCAGTATACAAACTTAGTTATAAACATGATTCAAACTAAGAAAACTATAAGCCAAAAAACAACCTGAAAAAAATCCTGTAAACTAATCTACTTTATAAAATTTGAAGTAAAACAAAGCTTAATAGAAGTAAATCAAAGATTACAGTTTATTAAAAATGATCCTGAATTTACTTCAGAAGATTTTAACAATGAAGTAATGTAATTTCAAGTATTAATAAAGGTAAGAATAATAAGATTTATTCATAGATGCTGAAAGCTACTTAATAATAAAATATAACAACAATTTGAAGTTAAAAAATAATTAGAAAATTTGGAACGGAAACAAACATTCAAAGTTTAATGTAGGTTGTCTACCTGAGAACCACAGCAAGCAAAATTAATCACACTCCCTTAAATTCATGAGCAAGATTAGTTTTTTATTGCCCTGGAGTTTCTGTCTAATAGAATATCACAACAAAAATAAGTGAGAAATATACATAAATCTATACAAGGTTCAAATTATAATTAATTGCAGGTGGTAGGATTTTGCACTGTTAAGAAGTAATGCCTATGAGTTTGTCTCTCTCACCAGTGAGGAGCTTTCATAGCACTTGCTCTTCCCCATTAAGGGATCAGCATGAATGAAATTCATTGCAACCTGATTCTCCATTGAGCAGAATTAATTTATTTTATTTCCCTTCTCACTTGTGGGCCATATCGATAATAAGGGAAACACAAATTAATAAATTATTCACTACTCATTTGAATCTCAAAAGCTAAAAGCATGCAATAATAAGTGTTTTCTTCAGTTGTAAGAAAATTAGTATTCATGTTGTTGCTTAGTCTAAAAGTTTGAGGGTATTTTAGCGGGTACTACCATCCATCATAATTTTAAATCTACTGACTGTCACTCAGTATCCCACTTAATATAGCCAACTAAAACTCTGAGCGTTTGTGTGCAAAGATATACATACAAGGATGATCACCGTAATATCATTCACAATATTATAGAATTGCCTATAATATTGTAGAATTTTAAATAATACATGTTTAAATATATCAGGCTATATTTCTATATTGGAATACCATACAGTGATTATAAAAGATCAAGCTAGAACTACTCATGATTTCATGAAAGATCCCTGGAGAAGAAAATGCAACTGGGTAAAGAGAAATGAACTGCACACATGTATTGCATATCCTCCTGAATTAGTTCACATTTTTATAATCACTAAGCATTTAAGTATTTCTTTCACAATTATTAAACCAATTAAAAGGATGTAGCTAATATGAATGGGTTATGAGTCCTGATATTGATTCAAATCACACAATCATATTGGTCATGTCCCTATTATCAACATTCCCCAAGAAAGTTGAATTCCTCACAATGTCAAACTAGGTCAGAATTAATATATGAACCATAGAATATCTCTGAGATGCAAAGCTCTTACACTAAAATTCAGGAGATTTTAATGTTAAAACATAAAAGGATACATTTATCAACTATATACTTCAAAAGATCAGAAACCTCACCTGTCTTCTTCACAGTTACCTCTTCAGCACAAACAGACAGCCTGGCACATAATAGGCAGGAAATAATTTTAAAGTAAATATGAATAGAATGAGAGGTAAGACTATTCTTTTTATACAATAGTAAGTAATTATGTGCATCTTTACTCCACCTGTTTCTCTTGAGATTTAACGTTTCTATTCCTTTTCTATATTAAATTAATATAATATTATTAAGAAAGTCTTCAACAATAGCTGTGTTTTTTCAAGTTTCAGTTCAAAGCAAAATATTTACCATGCCTAATATTTAAAATACTAACCTAGATTTTAAATTATAAGGTTTCTTCGTGTCCTTTTCTTCCTCTCCACAAAAGCAGTATTAATTCATTAGAGAATTAGATATATTTTCTCTCAGGTATTTTCTAATTCACGAGCATGTGTTTACATACTGTTATCAGACCTGAGTAGGTTTCATTGAACCAGGTTCAACCAGAATCTTAATACCATTCTATTTTTATCTTGTGGCAAAGAATTGGTATTTTGCCTCATACTCCCAGCCTTCTATCAGATATATTATGAGAATTAATAATATTTAATCCAAGATAGTGTGATTCTGCTGGAAACAGAGAGGGCAGACGTCAACATCTATGATGTTTAGTGTGAGACATGACCAAACCTATAGATAAGCTGGAGAAAAACAAACAAACAAAGCATAATTTACAGTGTATCATCTTTGAAAAACAAAACAATACTTATCTTCGAGATGTGTCCTTATAAATATTAGTAAAATAATTAGTGAGTCCGTGGCTTTCTCTACTGAGAAAGCTGAAAGAATTGAAGGATAATTTACCAGTTCTCACTGAACAGGAGCCCAGGAAATTGCAGGGGGACAAATGATCAATCGGTGAATGCTGAGCTAAAGTCTCAGACACTATTAGAAAGTGAAAGGCTCTGGAAATAATTAAGAAGTAGATGTTCTTCTATGGAAGACAGAAATACTCCTCATTAGGATGTAACTGAAAAGTGGTACCTCTTCCTTACGGAAGGGTGTGATGTTGTCACACAGAAAGATGGAAGAAGGGATTTACTTGCTGCAAAGCCCTTCGGTTAAAGGCAGGATATGCAGGAAAAGACAAGAGAAGCCTCTGAGTGTCACTGTCTTCTGAACACTTTAAAACATCAGATGCCTTTCTTGCACACTAAAAAGAAGTCCAAGCTAACAGGGCCATAGACTAAAGTTTGGTTGACAATCCTGTATTAGTTTGTAATTGGCTGCCATCACAAAACTAGGTGGTTTAAAAACAACAGAAATTTATTCTTACTTAAAGTCCAAAATCAAGATGTTGGGAAGAGTGTTTGCTTCTGGGATTCTGAGGAAGAATCTGTTCTTGATGTGCCTTGGCTTGCAGTTGTATCATTCTAGTTTCTGCCTTTACTGTTGCATGCCTGGTCTTCATCCCTGCGTGTTTCTGTCGAAATTTTATTCTTTTTTTCTTTTTTGAGATGGAGTTTTGCTTTTGTTGCTCAAGCTGGAGCACAACGGTGCGATCTCGGCTCGCTGCAACCTCCGCCTCCCGGGTTCAAACAATTCTGCCTCAGTCTCCCGAGTAGCTGGGATTACAGGCATGCACCACCACGCCAGGCTAATTTTGTATTTTTAGTAGAGACGGGGTTTCTTTATGTTGGTCAGGCTGCTCTTGAACTCCCGACCTCAGGTGATCCACCTGCCTTGGCCTCCCAAAGTGCTGGGATTATAGGTGTGAGCCACTGCGCCTGGTCCAAAATTTTCCTCTTCTTATAAGGCCACCAGTCACACTGGATTTAGGGCCCATCCTAACCCAATATGACATCATCTTACCTTGAGCACATCAACAGAGACCTTATTTCCAAATAAGGCACATACACAAGTTCTGATTGGACATAAATGTTGAGAGAACACTATTAAATCCAGTACAAACCCACAGTAAGAAATACATTCTGTATGTACAGATGGAACAAAAAATCTTGCAAAAGTATAGTTACTCTTTCTGTGTACAATGAACTCTAATATTTTTTAGTCTCTTAATTTTAATGTTTCTAAACTTGTAACAATCCACAAAATTGTCCATGATTCAATAACATATACCTATCGTAGTCTGAAAACCCTTAGCTGGATCAACAATCTTTGTCAGTTTCACATTTTAAATCACTTGTAACATTGCACAAACCTGTCTATGGAAAGGTTGGTAAGGCAAAGAGAAGAGTGGAAGGAGATCATTCCTACCACATTTTTTGCAGATCTCCAGAAGAGAGGGGAATGAGTTTATCAGGTAGCATAGAACACAGAGTCACTAGTACCACTGCAATCAACAGAGAGCCACAATTCAGTAGCCAGGATTCTGCAGGGACAGAGATCATGCATACAAACTAGGTAGTAATGATGCAGGTCAGGCAAGCCCCAAAACTGGGGCTCTTCCCGAGAGGGTTTGTGGTTTCACTCGGGAAAGAATTCAACAGCAAGCTAGTAATAGAAGAAAACAGGTGGATTGAGGCCACAGTGTAACAGCTCGGTGACTGCTCCTGCAGAGGAGGGCTACCCCATAGGCAGTGTGTGGAGAGGAGCCACTCAGGGAGAGTTCTACAGTCATATGTATAACCACTTTAAATTACAGGCAAATTAAGGAGTGGGTTATTCAGAATTTTCCAAGAAAAGGGTGGTAACTTCAGGGTCATTGCCATGGAAAGGAGTGGTTACGTGTGAGTGTTGACATGGCAATGGTAAACTGTCACAGTGCTGGTGAGTTGGCCTGTCTTATGGAGAGGTGCTTCCACCTCTTCCTTATTTCAGCCAGTCTTCAAACTGCTTGGGAGTTGAGCCCCGCCTCCTACCTCAGTAAGACCATCTCATGGGTTAGCAAAGGTGACCCTTTGAGAAAAAAAAAAAAAAAAAGAAGGGCTAGAGGGAGCAGCAAATATCTAGATTGCATTTATATTAAATTGTATTTTATATTGTTTTTAATTTAAAATAGCTCTGATTAATACAACTGAGAGGGTATCTGGCTGTTCTTGTGTTTCTTCATCTTCAAAAATTTCTAGGAAAAAGGAGTGAAAACACCCTCAAAAGGAACGCTTCCTACAATTTCTTTGGCTAATGTGTTACTTGAGAAATCTCCAGGTGCCAAATTGAATAATTCTGAGTTAAAGTCCTTGAGAGAGAATAAAGAACAGAGGTGTCCTTTCCAAGTCATTTTTAAGACTCGCCCCAAACCTTAACTATAAGCTAAGAGTTCATACCAATGATTAACCCAGGAACAAAACTCCTCTACAATATTAATTGATCTAATAAAATATTCTTCCTTAGGCTGCTTCTTACACATTCATTTTATTATCAAGTAGGCAACCAGTCATAGGAGTTATAACTCTCTTTTTTTTTCTTGTACCAACATGCTAGGATGAAGTAACAGATAGTATGATGAGCTAGCCCTTTATAACACTACTCTAGAAAAACTAAAAAAAGAAGTTGTAATTTAAAACAGAAGTTATCAAGGTGAGATTCTAATTTATAGTGTTGTATACATGAATTTCAGAAGGATATGGTTTGTCTGAACTCCTTCTTCTGCATTGGGTTCCTCACAGACTCTCTCCAACCTATATTGTATCTTTATTTAAGGACACTTTTATAAGTTGTTTAAATATAAAAGAGTTGTCATTTTAAACCCACAAAGCACTGGCCAAACCTAGTCTTAAACATAACATATTATGCAAATGATAATAAATACCATACTTGAAAATTGGTATTTATATAATTATATTGCTCTTTATAAAGTGGTTTTAAAGCATTTTCTGTGCTGTAAGGCATTTTTATTACCATACCAGAAATCTAAAGTTATGATATATTTAATATATGCTATGCAAGAAAAACCCTTTGTTTTAGAGATCTAGGGTGCTATCTGGAGAAAATACAGAGCAACTTTGTTTTCTTTCTCATTACAGAGCCCATTATATCCTGAGGCGAAGCTCACAGTGTATACTCGCCAGTTCTTACACGCTGGATTTGTTTCCCTACCTCCACCACCACCTCTGATGAATGAAAGGGTTTTACAATTAGTTACCTTTTGGCAAGCTCATGGCAATGTTATTTTTAAATTACATTTTCTAATAAACTCCTGGACTAAAGAATGGTTTATTAAGCTACCTCTAAGCAAAGGCCTGGATATTGCTTTTAAAATACAGAGCTATCCCCCCTCCACTTATCTTCAGAATCTTCATAATTGATCTCCCTTTAGGAATGATACAACTTTAAGCTTCAGTTACTGCTAAGTATAAAATGAAGTTTGTTAATTTGGGGGAGGCCTTCTCTGAAAACTCAGATTTGTTCTAAAACATAGCATGTATCTGAATGAAAGCAAAACTATTCAGTTATCTGCTTTGTGACATTGTAGCTCAAGCAGATCAGGGATTAAGTTCCACAAGCCATTTGGATCTTCTTTGTCACAGATCAGCCTCAGCTTTTTTTCAAAAAGTTTAATTTATTTTGACCATAGGAAAAATAGCCAAATTAATTTTGACAGCAAATAATCTTTTTGAATAGCAGGCAAATAATTTCTCATAGATCCACTGCAAATGCACTTTTATTCTATTTATGTCTCCATTATTTTCAACTTTGATTTTTGAAAACATTCACTTAATCTCTTATTTTCTTCCTCTACTATTATTATCTATGCCCTTTGATTATCTTCTCATCCAATTATTGAACCACTCTTTCTGCTTTCTATAAATTATCTCACCCAATCATGATACAACTTAAGAAAAATCTATTATCTCATCCTGAAACTTAAAACGGATAAAATTTGAAGTGTTGGGCATCACATGTGTAATCAAAACTTCACCTTATTGTTGCTTGTCTGCTCATCACTAGTCATATTGAAGCCCTGAACAATATGTTTCTAGTGCAAAAATCAATTATTTGCTATTTTAGAAAAACACCAGCAGGACAACGTTAAATTGAGTTTGATCAATTCAGTTTTAACCAGTGGGGTTAGACTAAATGCCATCTAAACACTGACTTCATTTTCTAAAGAGAGATGCTGCCTAAATAATTTGGCAGAACTCGTAGCGCATCAGCTGAATGTTAGAAGCAGCAACCCAAGTAGATAAAATAGATTTCCAAATTGCTTGGCCACAAAATTCCTAGGCAACTTTTCCTTAAGTCCTGAGGAGGAGCATCAAGGGCTCACAATGTTTACTTATCAATCCAACTTGCTCTCAATATCATTTTGTTTCAACTGTGCTTATTTCCAGTCAATAACAGGTAAGTAAATTAATTGATTATATAATACAACCTTTTTCCCATCCCATCACCCACGTGACTGCATTTCTGAGGCAGACAGACGTGCTGTTGTAGATGCTCTTTGGAGGATATGGGGGAATAACAGATACTCTGAAGACAAAAGACGGTTTGTTGTAACCGGTATTTAACTTCTAGGTATTTCCATTTAAAATAAAATATTTCTCATCTCATCTGCTCCATTTGGAAAAATGTATCTATATCATGTCTAGAAATCCACATGGATGGAAGAGTAAGGAGCAAAAGAACAAGATTGCAAACTGTCCATTTTGGCACTTTGCCTACAGATGTTCTCTTGAATTGGAAAAGAACAAACTTACTTTCCCAAGTTTATCGAAGATTTGATACTGAGAAGTCAACACAGCATTAGATTGCTGTGACTTTAGTTGTTTCGAACATCTTAAAAAGGATAGAAAGTTTTCAGTGACGGGAAACCAGGGGGCCAATCCCCACAGGGCTCAGCATTTCTTTCCCGCCACTAGAGAAGCCTGCTCCAGTGCTCCGCATCGCCAGCCCCTGCCTCCAGTGATGTTCACGGTGAAGGATGCGGCTCCATGACCAGAAACACGAATTAATAATGATGTTGTTGTCAAACAGATCAATCGTAACTGTAATATTGTCCTGCTATCTGTTTAAGTTATTTGCACAGTGCTACAATCTGAATGTTTTTGTCCTTACGAAATTCATGTATCGAAATCCTAACCCCAGGGTGATGATATTAGGAGGTGAGGTCTTTGGGTGGTGAAGTTATGAGGGCAGAGCCTTCATGAATGGGATTAGTGCCTTTGTAAAGGAGGCCCAGAGGCCGGGCACGGTGGCTCACGCCTGTAATCCTAGCCCTTTGGGAGGCCAAGGTGGGCGGATCACAAGGTCAGGAGTTCAAGACCAGTCTGGCCAACATGGTAAAACCCCATTTCTACTAAAAATAACAAAAATTAGCTGGGCGTGGTGGTGGGCACCTGTATTCCCAGCTACTCAGGAGGCTGAGGCAGAAGAATCGTTTGAACCCAGGAGCTGGAGGTTGCTGTGAGCCGAGATCGTGCCACTGCACTCCAGCCTGGGCAACAAGAGCAAAACTCCATTTCAAAAATAAATAAATAAATAAATAAAACAAAAATAAAGGAGACCCCAGAGAGCTAGCTAGTCCCCTTCTGCCATGTAAGGACACAGTGAGAATGTGCCATCTATGAAAAAGCGTGCTCTCACGAGACAATGAGTCTGCTAGCACTTTTATTTTGGACTTGCCACCTCCAAAGTGTGAGAAATAGATTTATGTTCTTTATTAGCCACCCAGTGCAGGGTATTTTGTAATAGCCAGGCTGCAGTAAGACACACATACCCTCTGTATTATAGATCAACTTTTAACTTGGGTCACTATTTTCTGTAACTTCAATGACTACCAGAAAACCTCTTCAGAGCCCTGCATTGAGGATTACTGTATTTATTATTGCAATAAAAATAACTACTATTTATTAAACACCTAACTATTCCAGGTATTTTGCTGAGTATTTTATATTATCCCATTTAATACTCAAAATTAGTGTATAAAGGGTACTATTAGCCCCACTTTGCAGCCGAGAAAATCAAGACATAAAGAGGTTTATTTTTCCCAGTGTCACAATGTAGAGCAGAGATTTCAGTGAAAAACTGTCTAATCCTAAATCCCATCTTTGTTAAACATTATCTGTTACTCTTTTTCCTCTGCTAACTGGATTCATGGTTAGTAGAACTGGATCCATTATTCCGCTTCCTCTGCTAAGTAGACTCATGGTGAGTTTGCCAAAACTGCTATGCTACATAAACCCGAATAACTTTGACAGCCTTTTGGGACTACATAAACGCATTCAGCCAGTGTGTTTAGTCTAGATAAGGTAAACAGAAATGAGAGGCCTGTACCTATGGAGAGTAGGGGATTTTGCTTTTGGAGGAACCAGGAGGGCCTTGTTGAACATAACAAGTGAGTTTATAAATGAAAGGCAGCTTTATGCAGCAAATATGTGTATTCTTTCAATTTCTCTTTTACTTAATCAAATCTCATTGTAAAGATAATTACTGGCTTTTTCCTTACATTTAGAAAAGTTCCAGCTCTAGACACAGTTCAAAGAGATCTATCAGGCACGTGGTTTCTCTGATTAAGATTTTTTTCAATTAAAATAAGGAGGTAAGCACTTGTCAGTTTTTTGAAATCCCTCTCTAAATTTGGTAACCTTTGAATTAAATTTTTCCATCATCCCAATAAGAGCTAAAACTACTTAACATTTTATAAAACCTTAGAAAATTATTGAGATTAGTTTTATTAATAAGATGCAATAATTAATTTCAAACCAGTTGCATTTGGTTTAGATCAGACATTTGGAATTCTTCATTCTTATCAGTTTTGAAATTTGTTACAGGTGCTAGGAATACAAGGTCTCAATAGTTCTAATTTTGGAACCAATTTTCAGAGACTAGGACACTTCCGTAGGTGAAGGGTATGGCATATGGCAGATATCAAGCAATTCTCCTGCCTCAGACTCCTGAGTAACTGGGATTATAGGCGCACACCACCATGCCCAGCTAATTTTTGTATTTTGCGTAGAGGTGGGGTTTCACCATGTTGGCCAGGCTGGTCTCGAACTCCTGACCTCAAATGATCTACCCGCCTCAGCCTCCCAAGGTGCTGGGATTACAGGCGTGAGTCACTGCACAGGCCTGATTTTTTTTTAAAAATAACAAGAGAACCATTATATCGGTAGTTAGCTAAATGCAATCCCAATTAAGCCACTCATATATCCATATGTGTAGCCATCTTCCTTCTGATATCAACTAAAAATAAAATCACAGCCCTAATCGCACACAAGATATACCAATTTTGTTTTCATTTTTTTGATCAAGTTCCTTTTAGGACTTTGGTATATGCTGGATGTGTGTTTGTTTAATTAACAAATATATATTTTTCACATTTATATATATAGGTATAAATATATCCTTATGATGGAAACATCCATGTGAATTAATTATAGATATTTATTCTCATACATAAACACATTACATATAAATATAAAAAAATTCTAATTTTTCCAGATGTTTGAACCATGCTGATTACTGAAAAAACTTAAATATCAAAATCTAATTTTATTCTTAGCTACTTTGATCCACATGTGCAGGATTTGCTCAGTTAAAATAACGATAGAAAACTAAAGAGAATGTGACAAATTACATATCCCTATGACTTTTTCATTAATAAGTAAAACAGTCCAAAAAGTCCAATTACTTATTTAACTGTTTATGTACCAGTGATCTAAAGTGAAATTATAAAATGTTTTACTTTTATCTAATTATATAGTATATACATAATTCTTCATTCTCAGACCTCAATCTGAAAAGCTGTAAAAACTGATATTTTCTCACCTAAATCTAGTGCTCAAACTCATTTAGTGATAAATCCCATTCTCAGCTGCTGCATTATCACTTAAGAATCATAAACTTAACCCATCATCAAATGCCCAAATACAACCTGCTGGCAATGCTAATATCATTATGATGTATCCACCTATTCAAGACTCAGCGGCAACCAAATGCTGTAATATAGAGAGATATTTGGCTTACATTCGAACTTTACTAGGTCGAATTTTAACAAAATATTTTTCATAGAAATAAGAAGTACTAGAATGTGGATAGTCTTTATTTTCCCTGTATTTCATGTACAAGTGTTTTACTATAAAAATAAACTCCTACAGTATTCCTTTATCTAGCCAAACATCATCATAAGTTGCACTGCAGAAATACTAATATGTTTGACTACAGGGTTTCCCCAGAGTTTTTGTGTTCTTACATAATTTCCGGCACATGCATGTATTACTTCCTGAAATTTGAAAAGAAAAATCCAAATTTTTAAATATATAAGTATTTGGGATTAAAAAATTAGACACCCTAAATTATTTTCATCTATACATCTATACTAGAATATCTCCTCTTGAACTAGGAGTAACATATATATGTACATACATGTACATATGTACATATATATGTATATGTATCATTGTTCAGTATAAATAAACTCTACTTGGTGTCCATTCACCCTGTTGACAGCATGACTGGTGGCAAAAATTTCCAGCCTTGTTATCAAAAATTCTTTAATGCTAATTTTTTTTTATTTCTAAGGGCATATTTAGAGGTTGCTATAGATTTGATACTGTTCTAAGTCACCTATGAGATAAAACCTAAACACGACACTGATTGATGATCCTGTCCCATTTCATTGACTCTCCATGGCATAACCTCACATGTCCAACTACTGAGGCTCTCCATTTTCACTCACAAGTGTCTGTCAAGTGTTTTTTCTGAACAGCACCTTCAGTGATTGGGAATGTGTGACATTATCTCCAGGTCCTTAGGAATGGAAAACATCCTACTTCATTGAAAGCAGATTTTTCTGGCTTCCTGCCCCATCTCAAACCTTAAGAAATCCATTATAATCACCATCATTATCATCCTTTATAAAGCCTCTCATCTTAACTATGGTGCAACTCAACATAACCAAAGTAGAAATGAGAAGACTTTCAATAAACTGTTATTAATTCCTCTATTAAATGAATTGATATTTAGTTTGACCATTGACTATTCGCATTATCTCATTAGTCCCTCACAACAATGCTGTGAGGTCAGGAGGTCAAGTATGACTCCAGGTAAGTCCAAATAAAGTACACTCTGCTTGTCTTTCTTTTTTTCACCAGCTGAAAGAACATCTGGGGTTCATATGATTCTTTCTCTGGTTTAGCTGGAGTTTGTTGTTAACAACAATCTAAATTAATCAGATTTCTCTTACCTGTTATTTTATAACTACGTTTTCTTAAAAACATATCCCTGTGTGTAGAACTAATATATCCATATTTAGCAATACTGTATATATATATGAATAATTTTCCCATATGAGGCTCTGTTGTATATAAAATTCTAATTTAAATAGCTCTCAAAATTGTTCTTCATCATAACCAAAATTTGAATAGCTTATTTTTCAAATTGATTTTATTCTGAAAACAGATAAACCATTTACCGGACTAAAATTTTTAACCAACAATGCAATTTGAAAAGTGCTTTGCAAAGAAGCAGTCTATATACATTATCATATTTTAATCCTCATAACACCCCCTTGCAGGAGCTATTATTATTCCCGTTTTAATAAAGAAATAATGGAGGACAATAGTAAAATACCCCAAAACTTAGCATTTTAAAACAACAAACATTTATCATCTTACACTGTTTCCAAAGGTCATGAGCATGCATATGGTTTTGATGGGCAGGCCTAGCTCTGAGTCTCTCATGAAGCTGCAGTCAAGCTGTCTGCAGTCTCCTCAAGGCTCAATCAGGGCAGGAGGACAGTTTCTAATGTCATTCACATAGTTTTTTGTAGAATTCATTTCCCCATTGACGTTTGGGCCACAGAGGTCTATCCACAGGCTTCCTAAACATTCTCACAACATGCCATCTGGCTTCCTCAGAGTGAATAATACCAAGATGGAAGCACAGTTTTTAATAACCCAATCTTGTCAGTGACATACCGTCACTTCTGCCACTACCCTATTTGTTTTTAAGTAAGCTGCTAGGTCCAGCGCCTACTCAAAAGGAGGGTATAATACAAGGGCATGATTACCAGTAAGAGGGGGTCATTGGGGGCCAACTTCAAGGCTGTATGCCACAGATGGCAATGTGGAGAGGCACACCTGAAGACTGGAGAGACTGCAGTGGCTTCTGGGAAAGCTCAAAATCCTCAAGCCAAGTATACATTTAAACCCAGCATTTCCCTGAGTTCAAAGTGAAGAATTCTACTATGTGGAAGATTGTTCTGTGATATCCACAACTAATATGACTTTGAAAACAAAAATCAATGGTTAAATAAGAGAATAGAAAATCGCATTTAGATTTTTTGCAAGGTGGCTTTTCCAACTCCAGAATCCTAAAGCAGACTTATTGTCCCCAAAAGAAAGCAGAAAAAAAAAGAAGAAAATATTGACCCATCACACACGTACTATGCTGGGAGAACTGGTTCAAATCAATCTCAAAAAAGAGATTTCCTGGAGAACCATCTGTGTAACTTAACAGAAGCAGATGTTTTTATTCCCAGTCTATTTCCCTTTTATACTGTGTTTCACCAGCTTAGAATTTGCATCATCATGAAATATGTCTTCCACAGATATTCATAACTTTAGAATACATTGATTCTAAGCAATATTTTTATATTATTAAAATTCAAGAAAATCTGCATGCCAAACAGGCAGTATTAGTTCTATTAAGTTTATAAGATAGTTTCTGTGCTCAATTTTAATGAGGAGTATGACTATTCAGATTTTCTTGACTACTCCTGGTTCTCTTCTCCAACTTGAAGATGCAGTATTTTTTAAAGCCATGATAATAAAGCCACTAACATCTCTTATTGGCACCTAATTATGAATGAATAATTGTAATTTACAAATAGTCTAAAATATAATCTAACCAATAGTTTCAATCTCCTCAATGACAAGGTTTTTCCCAGAGCAGTTATTACCACTGTGCACTCAGAGGTAGAGGCATTATCTAGTTATTGTCTGGTAAATGAGGTAATATTTTATTACCTGAAATGACAGGTAATACATCCTCAGGTTGATCCTGTAGAATTTTGAAATGCAGATGCACCTTATTATCCAAAATTCTCTGAGATCAAACCGTGCCACCTAATAATTTTTACAAGATGACCGACTCTTTCTACTTTAAAAAATGAAATAATTACTAGATACTGAGCAGTGACTACTAATCTACATGAGTTCAGCACATTTCAGATGAAGACATTAAAACTCAGAGAGAATAAACCTACCTAAGGCCATTTAGCTAAGTGATAAAATAGCCCAGGACCTGAGCCAAATCTGCCTGGCCCCAAACCCCAAGTCATTCCATCACGCCACAATATCTCCCAAAACAAGAGACGTTCCAGAGATAGACAAAATATATTCATTGTAATCTATTTGCAAGTATGTGTGTATATATATATATATATATATATGCTTTAGAAATACACACACACATATATATACACACACATATATATATCTTATACATATATATGTATAAGATTATACACATATGTGTGTGTGTGTATTTCTAAAGCGTGGTATACCTATTTCTATTAGACTACACATAAAAAAAATTTTTAATGTTTATTGATTTGGACTTATTAGCATTAGTTAATATACCACATACTATTAGCATCCCAAATGTGCAAAAGGGATTATTGAAACACTTTTACATGACCTCAGTGGATTGTGAAAAAGATGTACAAACTAATAAAAATTACGTGCTTTTTTTCCATTTAGAAGCTGAGAATTCTGAGTCTTAAAGATATTCCATAAACTTCTTCAAAATCACACGCTAGGAAATGTCAGGAGCAGGAACTAAAATGAAGTTACTTTAATTTTCAGCAAAGACCTTTTCTCTCACATTTTATTGATTTTCTGAAAGGCTGCTGGGATTGGTAGCTCATTAGTCTTTATTTAAAATGGCCTCAGTGTGCTATGATTTTAGAGGACTTGCACGTTTTCCCATAATATTCCCGTTTCTCTCATGGGTGGCAAGTTGTCGTTTACTTTTCATATTTTTGTCACTGTGTCTCTTTATAGTAGTTCCTCATCATCCCTCCTTTTAAGTTTCTGCTACCAATTTGCTGTTAGCTTGAAATCCAATCATTAAATGTTTAAAATAAGAATTTGCTGGCTATGAGAGATCATTCAAAAGTAAAGTATATGAGCTTGCATTTTATAAAAGTTATTTGTTTGTTCTCTGTCTTTTTTTCTGACTGTAAAATTAGCATATGTTCATTATTTTTAAAATTATAAAATGTACATGAGTTTAAATATGCAGAATACATGAACCTTAATCTCAGCTGCCAGAAATAATTCCACATTTTAGTATGCTTTATATTATATACATTTTAATATTATTACTATTAGAATGATTATCATTATTATTAATATTATTTTTAATGCCACAGCTTGTATCCTGCTTTTTTTCACTTATCATTTAAATTGGAATATTTTTCCCTGTCAATAAATTATTTTCAAAGACAACTTTTATTTCTGCATAAACTTCCTAATGTGACTATGTCATGGTTTGTTGAACATTTTCTGTTTGTTTCACATAATGTTGGTATTTTATTTCCATTTTGATCTATAATTCTATGAAAAGCATCTTATTCCAATGAAAACTTCAACATGGGTTTGTAGTTGTGAATTCAAATTCTAAGATTATAAAAAATTTAGGTTCTAGATACGTGCAGCCAAATTCTTTTTTCAGCAGTTATATAAATGTATGCTCTCACCAAAATTAAGTGAACTTAAATTACTTTAATAACATCCCAGAGGTCTGGTGATGTCTTGTCTTGCTCACTACAGGTTAATTGACTGTATTCTAAACATTTGAAGTTGTAAATAGAGGTCTCTAAAAAAGTGAGGCGTTACCATAACTAAAAATGCAAGGTTTTCATTATCCTTAAATTCAATTTATCTTTAATGTTTAGAAATGATATCACTGACTCACACACATCCACAAAAGGCCTTGTGCTCTGAGCGCCTTTACAGCATTTGGGGACTGGCTAACAGAGCCATTTGCATTATTTCCTACTGCCCTCTTTGGAACTATACATGATACAAAAACAGCTGTCTGATATTAAAATATAATCCGTAACTGTAACATAGTGTAAAGTTAATGTGTCCATTTTGTTAGTGAATCTGTTGGGGGAAAAAAGAGAACTATTATAAAACATAACCATTTTCAGGATATAAAATAAAAACCCTAAAAATGTTGGAAAACATGCACATTCCTCAAACTACATATTCGAATCTAATTACAACAAAAGCACATAAGTTGAGCTAGGAAGGCCCCCAAATACTTTATTAGAAAGTAAGTGGCAGGATAGCATTCCTTTCTTTATATTTCAGGCTACAGAGTGGACTTGAATGCAAGACCTTTCATTTGTAGTAAGCTGTGTTGTCACAGCAGGCATGGAACACTTCACCAGCTTTCATGCTGATCTTCTCTCTGTAGACCCAATGCTGTTCCACCTTCACTATATTTTACCCAACATCTCTCTGTCTTTTTTTTTTTTTTTTAACATCATTCCCAATGTTTTTATCTCTACTGGGGAAATTCCACGTCTACTTCCCATACTTCCTTTTTCAGAAAAACCAGCTTGACTTTGTCAAGTAATACAGTCACTGGTTCCCCTGAAGACTTATTACCTCTACCATACCACCCTACATAGGTTCATCACCTCCTATACAGTTTCTGTTTTTCTCTTACCTATTGGTCCTCATCTACATCCCTAAATGTCAATAGACTACCCAAGTGAGTCAGAAGACCATTACACATTATTAATCCTTTTTCTTCACACACATTAGTATGGGTACAGACTATTAGTATGGGTATGAAGAAAAAATAATATGTACGATTATATACATACAATTATGACATTTGTATATATTAAGCCCTATCTTTACATTCAAATTACTCCTATCACATACATAAATAATCAAGAGGGCCAGTATGACCTCAAGCTGGATATATTTATTTCCTTTTAGAGGATTCTTCCATCCAGGATAACACAGATTGAGCTTCATGTACAACAAAGCCTTATCCATAAGCCCTAGGCTCATCATTTTGTCTACCTAAACCACTCCATCCTGAATCCAGGACAGAAAGAACAAGAGCACTATCAGAACAAAACAACTGCTCCCTCTTAAGATCTATAAATGATAAGATGTGATCTGAAGCACATGCATGTTTTATGCTCCAGCATTCGTCTTTTCTTTCACTATAAGGCGATTCATTATTTCCCTTTATCTTTGCCTTCCTTGTGATCTTGAGCACACTCTCTTGCTTTCTATAACAGAAGTGCACAATTCCCTAGCCCTACAACATCACCATGGTTACAGTAAAGAATCTCAGGGTTTCTTACTCATTTTTGCTATTTCATAAATAAACATAATGATGGTAAGTTATAAAGCACTTCACTGTGGAGCATTATGAAGTAAGAAAGTCTAGAAGCTAATGTCTTTTACATACTTTCCTTGAGTAAAGACAGGGTGAGTAGTTGGTTGTGTGTGTGTGTGTGTGTGTGTGTGTGTGTGTGTTGTGCGCGTGCGCATTCGCTCACATGCACGTATTTGGAAAGACTCTATATTAAAAGGCTCAGACCTCATCAGCCACTCTTCCTAGCTTCACAGTAAGCATGGTGAGCACATGCTGATAATCAGACTAGCGTTCCAAGACAGCCTACAAAAAGATGCCTATTGCAATGACGTAAATAGCAAATGATGTGTGCAAATACTATTGCTTACCAGCAGATGTTACTGTTAGTGTGGTTCTTCTTCTGACACACTTATAAGGGTTGACTGCTTGGGGGCTTTTTGTTTATTTAAACTTTCCCAGAAAGAAGGAAAAAGAAAAGACTATGATATTTTGACAGTCTTTGCTTTTTTTCCCTTGACAAATGTGTGGTGACTTCCACTTTGATCCAAATACTTCTGTTTTTATTCTCAATCTCATCTCTAAAAATGATTACTGTATTTTGCTATTGGTCTTACACTGACTAATTTCTATACAGCATATTGATTTCTAATTTTGTTACCAGCAATCCATCACTCAACCTGTAGGACACTCATTTTTCTCTCTGAATTGAAGTTTTGTATTATCCACCTTGACCCTTTATTCTATGTAATGTTTTCTCCTTTCTATATACATTAGGTCTTAAGGTCTTTTTCCATCCCTAAGGACTTATCTTGTTTAAAAATGCATGGGTTTTTTTCATTACGTTTTTGTTGTTGTTAACGAGGTATTAAAATTGGTTACAAGGCCCACAAGGGGTTTGGTTTAGAAGCTTACTTTTTTTTTTTTTTTTTTTTGGGACGGAGTCTTGCTCTGTAGCCCAGGGTGGAGAGCAGTGGCATGATCTCAGCTCACTGCAACCTCCGCTTCCCGGGTTCAAGTGATTCTCTTGCCTCAGCCTCCTGAGTAGCTGGGACTACGGGCACCTGCCACCACGCTCTGCTAACTTTTGTGTTTTTAGTAGAGACGGGGTTTCACCATGTTGGCCAGGCTAGTCTCGAACACCTGACCCCCAGTGATCCACCTACTTCGGCCCCCCAAAGTGCTGGGATTACAGGCGCGAGCCACCACACTCAGCCTAGAAGCTTAATTTTGGAAGAAGCAGAAACGAGATGCTGAGTTCACCTTATATTGGATTAGTAGTATAAGGTGTGTATCTAGGATCCCCCCAAGCCATGAGTAAGTGAGAATCAGAGGTCCAGCTTCTGCTCTAATTCAGTTTCTCTTTGTAGAACGACAAACAGATCTGTGTTACCACTGTGACACCCATCTCTCTTGAATGAGAAGAGAAGGAGGAAGAGATAGATGCGCTCAGCCAAATACAGAAGCAGCAGCACAGATAGACAGCTACTATGGCCAGCACTTGTAAAATTCCTCACCCTTTACCACTTTTGTCTTTACCTAAAAAACGGAAACAGGATCTAATTGCATTCAGGCAAAAAGGAGGCTTTCCTCAGGGCATGGTGGGGAGGGAAAGGAGACAGAGGAGGACATTCACTTTTCAAGGAATACTTTGAAAGTCTCAGTTCTGCTGGTGTCAGCAGAGGCCTGCGGATCCCCTTGCCTCTCCCTCTCTCTCCTCTACAGGCCTTTCTGCACATTATTTCCACACTACTCTCCTAAAGCGGAGCTTTTATCATGTTACTCCCCTGCCCAGGAACCTGCAGTGGATGAGAATAACTGTCGTAATGCCTCACATTAGCATACAGTCTTTCCACTTACTAAGTGCTCTCACATATGTTATCTATTTCCTCCTACTAGCAATCTCAGTACTTATTAGATCAAGCCCAAACTCCTTATCCCAGCATAGTCTTAACACTTTCTTGACTAGCTAGCAGTCTTTCTCTCACTTCTCCCAAAATCAAGCTCTCAGCCCTCTCTTTCTCCCACGCAGGCTGCAGTTATTTTCACCCTCTAGAACTGCCTTTTGCACCCATCCTACCCCGATTTTTCTAACCCCTCCACAATCCTCCATCCCAACACTCCTGAAAATGCTTGCCTCTTTTTATTCTCCTGCTGAAAGCTGGGAGGAAATGTCAGCTTTCCAGGAAGAAGCATGTTTTCTGAGGACAGTCTCCAATAGAGCATCCACCCTTTCTGACCTCATTCCATGGAGTTTGTACATGGTACATCATACCGCTTCTTTCCATTCCTAGAGGGAAGATCCTTTGTAAGTGAAGGTGTGTTTGGCACCACATGCACTTGGCCTCCTGTCCTTCAGCTGCTTGTCATGTTATCCTTGCCTCCGTGTGCTTCTAGATTCAAATTAGGCAATGATTAGACATACAGTGAACTCTTCCTCAACCTTCCCACGCCTCTAAAATGTTTTTGTCAGGGTCCCACCATTACAGAATAGAACATGTCTGTTAACTCTACGAAAATTCTAAGTATTTTCTCAGTTTATTTCATATTAGCTTCATTTTCTTTGGGGAAAGACTTCAAAATTAGCAACACGGCATAATCTCTCCTTGTAGATGTGAAAGACTCTTGGTAGACTAAGTAACGCATACCTCCTTAACCTCTGTAATCGTCAATGTCTGTATAATAGTATCTAGTTTCTCTCTGGCAGCTGGATAGTAGGTCAGATGGAAGTCAAAGCCAAGACTGTTTCCTCTATGTAAGTTTAGCCACAGTATTCACTCAGAAATCTTTATGAAATGATCTATGGGCACACCTCATTTTATTGAGCTTAGTTTGATTGCACTTCACAGATACTGCGTATTTCACAAATTGAAGGTTTATGACAACCCTGCCTCCAGCAAGTCTAACAGTGTCATTTTTCCAACAGCCTGCATTTGTGTCAGGTCTGTGTATTACATGTTGGTTATTCTCACCATATTTTAAACTTTTCCATTAATATTATATCTGTTACGGTAATCTGTGACCAGTGATCTTTGATGTTACCATTGTAATTGCTTTGGGGTGCCCAAACTGCACCCATATAAAATAGCAAAATTAATGGATAAATGTTGTGTGGGTCTGACTGCTCCACTGATCAGTCATTCCCTCATCTCTCCTTCTCCTCAGGACTTCTTATTCTCTGAGATGCAACAATATTGAAATTAGGCCAACTAATAACCCTACAACAGCCTCTAAGTGCTCAAGTGAAAGGAAGAGTCACACTTCTCTCACTTTGAATCAAAAACTAGAAATGATTAAGCTTAGTGAGGAAAGTACCTTGAAAGCTGAGACAGACCAAAAACTAGGCCTTTTTTGCCTAACAGTGAAATAACCTTATTGCTGACATGGAGAAAGTTTTAATGGTCTGGATAGAAGATCAAATCAGCCAAATCGTTCCCTTAATCCAAAGGCTAATAATCCACAGAAAGCCCCTCTTTTCAATTCTATGAAGGCTGACAGAGCTGAGAAAGCTGCAGAGGAAAAGTCTGAAGCTAGTAGAAGTCGATTCATAAGATTTAAGGTAAGAAGCCATCTCTGTAACATAAAAGTGCAAGGTAAAGCATCAAGTGCTGGTGAAGAAGCTGCAGCAAGTTATCCAGAATATCTAGTAAGATCACTGATAAAGGTGGCTACATGAAACAACAGATTTCAATGTAGACAAAACAGCCTTCTATTTAAAAAATAATGCCATCTAGGACTTTCATAGCTAGAGAAGAGAAGTCAATGCCTGGCTTCGAATCGTCAAAGACAAGCAGACTCTCATTAGGGCATAATGCAGCTGGTGACTTTAAGTTGAAGACCCAGTGCTCATTTACCATTCTGAAAATTCTCGTGACCTTAAGATTCATGGTCAATCTACTCTGCCTATGCTCTATAATTGGATCAAATATTTTAAGCCCACTGTTGAGACCTCATGCTCAAAAAGAAGATTCCTTTTGAAATATTACTGCTTATTGACAAGACACCTATTCACCCAAGAGCTCTGATGGAGATGTACAAGAATATTAATGTTGTTTTCATGCCTGTTAACACAACATCTATTCCACAGCACACAGACCAAGGAGTAATTGTGATTTTCATATCTTATTATTTAAGAAATACATTGATAAGGCTATAGCTCCATCAACAGCGATTCGTCTGATGGATCCGGGCAAAGTAAATTGAAAACTTCTGGGAAGGATAAATCTTTCTAGATTCCATTAGGAACATTTGTGATTAATGGGAGGAGGTCAGAATATCAACATTAATAGGAGGTTGAAAGAAGTTGATTCCAATCCTCATTAATGACAAGAATTAGAAGTGGAGTCTGAAGGTATGACTGAATGCCACAATCTCATGATCAAACTTTCACAGTGAGGAGTTGCTTCTTATGGATGAGCAAAGAAAGTGGTTTATTGAGATGGAATCTACTTTTGATGAAGATGCTATGAACATTGTTGAAATGACAACAAAAGATTTAGAATATTACATAAATCTAATTAATAAAGCAGCAGCAGGGTTTAAGAGGATTGACCCCAATTTTGAAATAAGTTCTACTATGAGTAAAATGCTATCAAACAGCATCACATACTACAGATAAATCTTTCACGAAATGAAGAGTCAATTTATGCAGCAAAGTTTATTGTTATCTTATTTGCCACAGTCACTCCAATCTGATTAGTGATCAGCTAGCCATCCATGTCAGGGCAAGACCATCCCTCCACCAGCCAAAACATTATGACTTGTTGAAGGTTCCGATTATTCTTTGCATTTACTAGCAACAAAGTATTTTAAAATTACTATATATACATATATATATATATTTAGAGGTAATGCTATTGCACACTTACTTACAGTATCTTGTAAACATAACTTTTATATGTACAGGGAAATAAAAAAATTGTGTGATTCACCTTATTGTGCTGTTTGTTTTGTTTATGGTGGCCTGGAACCAAACCCACAATATCTCTGAGATGCTGGTATATGTAGTAGGCTTGTGCTTTTTTCTGACTATTCAGATTGGGTATTAAATGTTCATAAAAATAGATGTTTAAGGATTCAAAGATAAAAATATTTGTCATCTGATATGGTTTGGCTGTGTCCCCACCCAAATTTCATTTTGAATTGTAGCTCGCATAATTCCTTGTTGTGGGATGGACCCAGCTGGAGATAACTGAATCATGGGGGCTGTTTCCCCCATACTGTTCTCGTGGCAGTGAATAAGTCTTATGAGATCTGATGATTTTATAAGGGGTTTCCCCTTTCACTTAGTTTTTCATTCTCTCGTCTGCTGCCATGTAAGATGTGCCTTTTGCCTTCTGCTATGATTGTGAGGCCTCCCAAGCCACATGGAACTGTGAGTCCATTAAATCTCTTTTTCTTTATAAATTACCCAGTCTCAGGTATGTCTTTAACAGCAGTGTGAGAACACACTAATACATTATCTCAGTTCCTCTATATGGAAATTTTTTTTCTATATCTTTACTCTCTCAGATTTTTTCCTCTTTCTTTCCTTCCCTCTATTTCTTTCTCCATTCCTCTCTTTTCCCTCTCTCCTCTTGCTGTTCTCCACATTCTTATCTCTTTCCTTTTCTTTCCTCCTTCCTTTTCTTTTTTACACTAAGGTATTGGTTTCAATAATTATTGTTCATCATAGAATCTGACCATAATTGAATCAGCTCCTAAGTCTGAATAGAAAAATACTGGAGTTAAATTATGTATGTTTTCACCAAGACCCCAAATTCACAAACAAACCTAAGCAGCAAAGGCAATTAATGGCAAATGGGAGGGTTCACAGTCCCTGACAGAGAGAGAGAGACCACCTGCCAATGTATGTGACTCCTCACTGCAGCCTTCTTTCTGCTTCCAGGCACTACTCTCTTTGTTGTGATTTTTGTCATTCCTACTCCATTGTTCCCTTTCACTTTACTGGCAGAACTATTTCCTGGTTTATCATTCAGTATCATACCTTTTCTTTCAACCTTGTATGACCAGAATATAGCAGAGGAAAAACAACAAACAATCATTACAAAAACTAAAATCTAGTCTAGTCTCAAACTAGACTTTTGTTTTCAGCAGTTTGTCTATGATGGATCCTGATGTGCATTTCTTAGGATTTATCTTATTTGAAGTTTGCTTGGCTCCTCAAATCTTTAAGTTTATGTCGTTTGAGAAACCATTACTTCATTGAGTATTTTTGCAGCCCTGCCCTTTTTCTCCTCTCCTTCTACACTCTGATGACATTTTTCATTTTCCCACAGGTCCCTGAAGATCCTTTCTTTCTTTTCTTTTCTTTTCTTCTTTTCTTTTCTTTCTTTTCTTTTCTTCTTTTTTGAGATAGAGTCTCGCTCTGTTGCCAGGCTGGAGTGCAGTGGTGTGATCTCGGCTCACTACAGCCTCCAAGTTCAAGCGATTCTCCTGCCTCAGCCTTCCAAGTAGCTGGGATTACAGGCACCTACCACCACGCCCGGCTAATTTTTGTATGTCTAGTAAAGACAGGGTTTCACCATGTTGGCCAGGATGGTCTTGATCTCCTGACCTCATTATCCACCCGCCTTGGCCTCCCAAAGTGCTGGGATTACAGGCGTGAGCCACTGCGCCCGACATTTTCTTTTCTTTTTTATTTTCAGTCACTTTCATGTGGTTGTTAGGATTAGGTAATTTCTACTCTCCTATTTTGATTTTGTCCCCTCCATTCTGCTTCTGAACCCATCCATTACATTTATGAAAATTTCAGTTATTCCATTTTTTCAGTAATAAAATTTTCATATGGTTATTTTTCATTTTTATTTTCTACTTTCTTTATCATGACTTTCTATTTTTATTTTTGCCAAGACTTGCTATTGTTTTCACTTGTTTCAAGAATATTCATAATTGCTCCTTGAAGCATCTTATAACTGCTGCTTTAACTTGTCGAATAATTTAAACATTACCGTCATCTCAGTGTTGGTGTCTATTGACTATCTTTTTCCATTCCAGCTGAGATATTCTTGGTTCTTGGTAGGATGGGTGATTTTAGACTGATGCCTGGATGTTTGGGCATAAATGTTCCTTATCCTCAGCTGTACCTACCTGGGGCTGGCCACAGTGTCTTCCCTGAGGTGGGATGAAGACTTCATCTCTGAAAGTTATTGAAACCCTGCTTGCCATGCCTTTCCCAGGCTGGGAATGCTGCACGTGAATTGCTTGGACAATGATACTCTTTCCTACACCCACTGTATAACCATAGCTCTATCATCTTAATCATCAGGGGCTTTATGCTATGAGAATCTTAAGCTGGTTTTAGCTGGCTTCTTCTGACACTTCTACTGAAGGAGGGAGTCATGCCATCTCCTTCCTTCTAGATGGGAACAGAAGTACAGGCTTCCACTTGGTTTCTGCTGATACACCCTTGGCTGGGAAGAGTAGGAATACTTCACATTACTGCCCTCACTTGGCGTCTACTGACACAAAGCGGACAGGGAAGAGAGGAGAAAGGGACAGAAGGAGATATGGCCTCCTTACAATTAGGCTGGGGTGGTAGTGAAAGTTCTGGTTCTCTTCTAGGCCTCCTCTGACACTAACTCAGAGGTCAAGAGAAGGGATGCCTCTCATTCTGCTGGATAAATTTTGGCAGCCTCAGAAAGGGTCCTGCTCATGGATGGATGAGGCAATTCTCTGACTCTAGTGGAACACAGGTTTCTAACTATTTGTAAATTTAATATAGCCTTTTTTTCTTTGTGAAGATTACTAACTCAAATTCATGCTGTACCCCAATTTAAAATATCTCCAACTCCTAAACATGCCATATTTTAAAATAAGTCCATGAGGATAAATGAAATGACCACAATATTTTAAAAGATAAATATAAAGTGAAAACAACTCATTTTTGTAAATCTCTTTGCTATCATAAATGTCAGTATCCAGAAATAGCATCAATGGGTCAGCATTTTTTCTCAGGAAAGACAATAACGGAGGCAGGAGAGATAAAAACAACTGTGACAATGGTATCCAGTGCAGTTGCTTTTTATTCTTTAAATTATCTATTCTTATTTAAAATTATTCCCGTTTATCATGAGTTCAAAATAATCTAGATGTTTAAAGGGTATGAAAATATTATTTCATCCCATTTGCTAAAATATAGAAGATGTATACTACATAGTATATACTCAAATTGCCACATCAAGTCATTAAGTAAGTAATCTAAGCACGAAACGGTATGTTTTGAAAGTGGTGACCTACTGAAAAACTAGTTAGGAGACCTGGCTGAGTTCTCTCTCTGAGAAATTCTAAGAAGAGTGGTGATATTGTTTATTGATCTGCAAATGAAGAGCATCAACTAAGATCGGCAATGCCCATGCCTGATAAAACTCTGATATTTTGTATATTGAAGTAAGGATAAAATGATTACATCAAAGCAAGTTGGGGGAGTACAGAGTCAGATATTGTTCTCAGATTAACAAAATGTTTGGGTGAGGGGACATCAGCTTCCTTCTTTTAAAAATTATTTTTATAATTGTATCAGTCAAGGTTCTTCAGAGAAACAAATAATTGGGGGTAGGGGGAGAGAGAGAGAGAAGTATTAAGATTTATTTTAGGCCGGGCGTGGTGGCTCACGCCTGTAATCCTAGCACTTTGGGAGGCCGAGGCGGGTGGATCACAAGGTCAGGATATCGAGACCATCCCAGCTAACATGGTGAAACCCCGTCTCTACTAAAAATATGAAAAATTAGCCAGGTGTGGTGGTGGGCGCCTGTAGTCCCAGCTACGCAGGAGGCTGAGGCAGGAGAATGGCATGAACCCGGGAGGCGGAGCTTGCAGTGAGCGAGATTGCGCCACTGCACTCCAGCCTGGGCGACAGAGCAAGACTCGGTCTCAAAAAAAAAAAAAAAAAAAAGATTTATTTTAAGGAATCATGTGATTGTGGTGGCTAGCAAATTCACATCCAAAATCTGTAGGGCAGGGTATTGGACTATAAACTCAGAAAGGATGACTATGTAACAGTTTTGAGACAGAAATACTTCCTCTCCTGGAAATTTCAGATTTGTCTTTTAAAGTTTTCAACTGAGTGGATAAGGCTCACCCATATTGTCAGGGGTAATCCCTTTTGCTTAAAGTCAACTGATTGTAATTGTTAATTACTTCTACAAAACATCTTCAGAGTAACATCTAGATTGGTGTTTGACCAAAGAACTGGGCAATATAGCCTGTGCCAAGTTGACACATAAAATTAACCATCACAATGGTGATGTATACTAATTATAGTACCTTCATTTGGCACCTAAGATGTCTTAGGAATTATTCTTGGCACTTTGAATAAGCAGTCTCATGTAACCCTCAACATAGCCTTATGAATTTTATATTTATATATTGCTATTTTCACTTGAGACAGGAGGAAATTAACTCTGAGGAAAAAAAACATTGCTCACAGTGCAAAGCTAATAAATGGTGCAGTAAGGATTAAAATTCAGGTTTACATGAAAACAATGTGTGCTGAAATTAATATTGGAAAAAAGTCTTAAAATTCAGATTCAGATATGTTCTCACTACCCAGCTTTTGAACTTGGGACATCTAACAGTCTTATTTTATTTATATCTGTAATTTAGAGGTTGAATTGGATGCTTCCTAAAAATAGTCTGTGATTCTATTTTCCAACTGTACATATTTTACCTGCCTTTCTTTTATAACACATTCTTGCCTTTTAGACATTCCATGGGAATTTGGGTTGGGCCATTCTCTTGAGCCATGTAATGAACATTTTGTGTTGGTTGATTATTCAATTACAATAAAGAAGTGACAATCCATTATAAAGAGTTATGAATCTACACATTGGAGGGGAATCCTGTGATTTTGTTTTGCCTATCAGCCTTTCCAACTGCACTTTTATTATAATGAAACAAAATACAACTTAATGGTTAGGGGACCACATAAACTGAAGCAAACGGTAAGGATGGCTGATGCCAGAGGGTGAATTTTGCCAAGATTCACTCAACACTCTTTTCTCTCCCTGGGTGTCTTGGCCTAATATCTACTTACCTCAGTAATAGAAAGCAAGTTTTTAACACCATTACCTCCTGCTGAACCAATGCAGTTATGAAAAAGCAAGCTGGATTCTTTTTGTCTCATACATCAACTACAACACTGTCAGCTGAGTTCCATTTGCAGAATCCTTATTACTGCTGATGATGTCAGAGAAAAGGAACATAGCTTGATTAATAGATTGCAGGTGGAATTTACAATACTGGCAACTAAAAATGATCTTTTGATTTATAAACTGAGAACATTCAATGTAAAAGTCACTGAGAGTGAATAAAGATGTTTAAAACCCACCAGATCACTTTAGGAAATCGATTTTCTATTTATAATTACAATTTAAATATCATTAAAAAGCTTCTTTCCTTTCCGTTTTGCATGCGGTTTTTGGTATTCTACAACCATTTGCCTTTCTGAGAGGAATCAGTGTAGGGAATCCTTCCACAAGAACCTATGCTTGCCTTTGTGACTTATTCCAAGACAATGGTGCATGTGTGCATGCATGCTCTATAGACACAAAAAGTCACATAGCACACATAAAGAAATATGAGCATCTGAAAGTTTATCTGCTATAATTTCACATATGATCCATGACAGTAATATTACTTGTAATTGGGATATTCATTTGCTCAGAATATGTTTAGAGGTCACAAACCAGCATCTGGCTTTTATCCTACTCCTTTTCTCTACTGCCCCTTTAACAAAAATATAGAATTTGACATTTCATTAGCTGACTTTAAATCTTTTTTTACGAGGCCTAAATAAAGCTGGATATTTTTGCTTGTTAAAAGGAGAGATATCTAATGTTAGATAGTGACCCGGTGAAAGGTAAAAAGTAGATCCCTTCTTGGAGTGAAGGTCTTTCATTCAGTTGCTTATGATTCTTATACCATTGAGGTTTAAATAGGCATCCTGGTGGAAAGGCACCTGACATGTTACTCTTAAATGCAGAAACGACACAGTGAATAAGACAGTTTTATTCTTTTAAAGAAGAAAAATCTCTGGGTATCTTATTATGAATATGTTATTTGTCTTAGTTTGTTTTGTATTGTTATAAAAGGATGCCTGAAACTGGGTAATTTGTAAAGAAACAAGGTTTATTTGACTCATGACTCTGATGTCTGGAAAAGTTCAAGATTATGCATCTGGTGAGGACCTCAGGCTTGTTGGTGGTGGAAGTTGAAAGGGAGTTAGCATGTGCAGAGATCACATGACAAGAGAGGACTCAAGAGGTGGTGGGGGTGGGGGGATGCCAGGCTCTTTTTAACAACCAGCTCTCTTGGGAACCATAGAGTTAGAACTCACTCACCCCCAAAGGAGGGCCTTAATATATTCACCGCCATGACCCAAACACCACCCATGAAGCCCCACCTCCAATCTTAGGGATCAAATTTCAACACAAGTTTTGAAGGGGACAAACATCCAAACCATAGCGTTATTGAAAGTGCAAAAAACATGCTGAGAGACAAATATCACTTAATTATTTCTGTAGAGTCTATTCTTTTTTCAAATTTATTTTAATTAACATATAAAACGATATATGTTTATCATATACAACGTTTTCAAGTGTAAGAAAAATACTGCACAATCTCACTCATTTGTAGAATCTAAAAAAGTTCATCTTATAGAATTAGATTATAGAATGGTGGCTACTAGAGCCTGGGGTGGTTGAGGGTCAGGGAGAGATATTGGTCAAAATACACATAATTACAGTTAGATAGGAAGAATACGTTCTAGAGGTTTATTGTGCAGCATGATGACTATAGTTAATGATGATATATTATTAAAAAATGCTAGGAGTGTGGATATTAAGTGTTCTAACCACAAAAGTTATAACTATGTGAGTCTGTTCTCTATTAAAATTTCTTACTTACTTTTCTACTGACAAATAAAATTCTATATATTTATCATGTACAACATGTTGTTTTGAAATATGTATACATGGTGGAATGGTTAAATCAAGTTAATTAACATATGCATTACTTCATATGCTCATCAATTTTTAGTGAGAGTCCATTCTTTTCTCACATTATTCTAATTTGACTTTATTGAGTCTGTAACAGCCCTCTCACTAGTCTTTTTGGAGTTAGAGATGGTGTGTCCATTCATTCTTCGTCTTTCAATCATTTGATATTTATTGGTGGAAATTCAGATGCATAACTTTACCTGTAATGGAGTATACTTCTGTATAGTCCCAGAGATATGCCACACATATTAGAAAGGGACGGCTTTAAGAAGAGATGGAGAAAGCAGGCCTCTCTACATTGGAGATAACTTAACGTTCATAATTTTCTATATTATTATGTAGCATCAATACATCAATATCCATGTTAACTTTAAAAATATAGTGGTATGTGCCCTTGGAATTACCCCAAACAAGCTCTTAATACTCCAAATCTATAGCTATAATCACTGAATACATCTGTTAGAGTTTGGATAATATTTTTACTGCAATTCTCTATGGTTATTCTACAATTAACATATAATAGTTTTTTTAAATTTATCTAAAAATTGCTTCTCTAAATATCCTTAATCTATAAACTAGTAGGAGGCATAGCAGGTATGCCTCTCAGTTAACAGACTTGGATGTAAACTAAATTTCAGGTTCTGTTCTATTATTTCAACTTAATTTTGAACCACTATTTCACCGGGTTAATATGACAATAATCTTAGTCTTTGGAGGAGAAAATATTTGTCCTGATATCTAATGTCTTAGGTTTTGTCAGGGTCTGGAGTAGCATATATACTCTCAAGGCACAAAGGGATAGGAGGCCAGCAGGTCAAGTTATCCATCCTAAAGCCAACATGAACATAAACCACCACCTAAACATGGCTTCGAGTCCAGCACCTTTTCATGCTGCATCCTATACACCATGCTGGGCATGGGAACATAGCTGAAATACTCTTCAAAGTCATATTGGTCTTGTTAGTTCCTCAGTGGGCTGCTGGAAAGAATGTGTAGAAATAAACCAGCTCACTAAAAACCAGAGGATGATACTAGTAAACCAACACACACACACACGCACACACACACACACACAGAGCTCTCAGCTGTGGCGTTTTTCAATTTCTGTGGTGTAAATACTCCCACCATAGTCCATAGCCATTTTCAAGCTTCCAATATAAAGTCATTGAACCCACAAATGTGCAAATTTAGCTCATGAGAGTTGATTTAAGCTGGATCCAGCATACCACTGTGTCTGTCCACTCCGTTTCCTATTTTCATCACTTTCTCTTTACTGCGTCTGTTTCCAACTATATTAGAGAGGAGACTAAGGGAAGGTGGGGAAGGGACTTCGTTTTTTCTAGCCAATTTTTCCACCTCGTGTTTCTAAAACAATTTTTCTCTGCCCCAATTCCAAATACCATTTCTTCTTGGGGCTTAGGCTTTTGGAACAAAAGACAATAATATTTGCAGAATATTTCTAATTTCCATGTTACTGAATTCCTTTCCCTAGTCCAGGAGCAAATGGTTAACCAACTGCTTGAATGAAGGAGTGTAGATTGAGGGAGGAGAAATACTTAATTTTTCAGCAATCCCATCACAAAGTTTTAAGATAACAGGCTTCACTGCTTTCAGCAAATAATCCAGCGTGCCTTATTTTTTCAGATAGATATTATTTTTTAGAGCAGTTTTAAGTTCACAGCAAAATTGAAAGGAAGGTACAGAGATATTCCGCATACACCCTGCCCCCACAAAGGCACAACTTACTCCTCTATCAGCATCTTGCACCAGAGTGGTCCATTTGTTACAATTGGTGAACCTTCATTGACATATCATTATCACTTCTGTTAGTCTGTTTTGTGTTGCTGTAAATGAAAACCTGAGGCTAGGTAATTTATGAAGAAAAGTTGACTGTGGCTTACGGTTCTGCAGGCTGTGCAAGAAGCACAGAGTCAGCTTCTGCTTTTAGTGAGGGCTTCGGGAAGCTTACAATCGTGATGGAAGGTGAAGAGGGAGCAGGCCTGTCACATGACAAGAAAGTGAGCAAGAGAGCGGCCAGGCTCTTTTAAACAACCAGCTCTCACATGAATAAATAGAGAACTCACTCATTACCTCAGGGATGGCACCAAGCCCTTCATGAGGGATTCACCCCATGATGCACCCCACCTCCAGCATTGGGGATCATATTTCAACACGAGATTTGGAGGGGACAAAACTCCAAACTGTATCATCACTCAAACCCATGGTTTACATTTGGATTCACTCTTGGTGTATATTTTAGGGATTTTGACAAATATATAATGACGTGTCTGTTATTGTAGTATCTTGCAAAATAATTTCACTGCCCTAAAAATCCCCTCACTCCACCTATCCATCCTTTCCCTAGCAGCCAGTGATCGTTTTACTCCCTACATAATTTGATCTTCTCCAGAATGTGATACAGCTGGAATCCTACATTATGGAGCCTTTTCTAATTGGCTTCTTTCACCTAGTAATATGCATTTGTTTCTTCCATGTCTTTTTATTTCTTTTTAATCCTGAATAGTAGTCCTTTGTTAAGATGTACCACAGTTTAGTTATTCATTCATCTGCTGAAGGACATCTTGGTTGCTTCCGAGTTTGGGCAATTATAAATAAAGCTGCTATAAACATTAACATGCAGATTTTGTATAAAAATAAGTTTTTAATTCATTTGAGTAAATATGAAGGAGACTGATTGGTTGGTTGTATAGCAACAGTGTGTTTAGTTTTGTAAGAAACTGCCAAATTGTCTTCCAAAGTGGCTGTACCATTTTGCATTTCCACCAGCAATGAATGAGTTCTTGTTGCTTTAGATCCTTGTGAACTCTTGGTGTTGTCAATGTTTTGGATTTTGCGCATTCTAAGAGGTGTATAATTGTTGCTTTAATTTGCATTTCCCTAACAACATATGATATTGACCATCCTTTCATATGCTTATATGCCTTCTGGACATCTTCTTTGGTGAAGGCTCTACTCAGGTATTTTGCCTATTTTTAAATATATTTTATTGCTGAGTTTTAAGAGCTCTTTATATATTTGGGATAATAGTCCTTTATCAGATAAGCCTTTTGCAAATATTTTCTCCAAAGCTGTGACTTGTCTTCTCTTTCTCTTGATAGTATCTTTTGCAGAGCAGAAGTACTTATTTTAAATGAAACCATCTAAATTATGTATTTTATGGATTAGATCTTTGGTGTTGAATCTAAAAACACCATCACTATACCCAAGTAATCTAGATTGTTGTTCTATGCTATCTTCTAGGAGTTTTGTAGCTTTTTGTTTTATATTTAGATTTATGATCCATTTTGAGTTAATTTTTGTGAAGCTATAGGATCTGTGTATAGATTTTTTTTAATTTTTATTTTGGGATGTGGATGTCCAGTTGTTTTAGCACCACTTGTTGAAAAGATTCTATTTTTTCCATTATATTGTCTTTTCTTCGTTGTCAAAGATTATTTGATTGTATTTATATGAGTCTATTCTGGCCTCTCTAGTCTGTTCTGTTAGTCTGTCTATTCTGTCAGCCAGAGTGCCTTATTTATAATCTCTATTTTCCTCTTTACACATTGGGACCTTAACCCTGAATGTGTTGTCCTGTAATTATGTCTGCATTGTAAATTGGTTCATCAATTGTCAATTCTAACTAAATACACTTTTGCCTTCCATGAGTCCTTAGAAAAAGTCCTTAGTGTGAGACATCTTCCTAATATTGTAATTCAGCAGTAAAATTTACCAGGAATTGGTAAGTCTCACTAACGCTGTGGTGATGATTTTCTCCTTTTATTGTTTCCATCAGAACCCAGGTCCACCTAGCTGCTGTGGTCTTCTCACTCCACGTTGCCATCTGCAGTGATCATGGCAGTATAAGAATCTTGCTGATTATTATGGTGGAGATTTTTGTTCTCCCTTGGAAAGTTCTGTGCATCTATTAACTCTTCCTTTTCATAATTTAAGAATAGTACTAAATTTAATCTGGAGAACCAGGTGCAAATTCAAGTTTTGCATATATATATGTGTATACATATATAAATACACACACACACACATATATACATATATATACACATATACATACATATATATATATACACACATATATTTCAGTAACCTAGAAAATGTATCTAGCCTTTCTTTTATCTATTTTTATATCTTGTTTAACAAGCAATGGCATTTTCTTGCCTTGTTTTGATTTGTTCGAAAGATTTTGCGAGGGCAGCCAAGATGGCCGAATAGGAACAGCTCCGGTCTACAGCTCCCAGCGTGAGCAACACAGAAGACAGGTGATTTCTGCATTTCCATCTGAGGTACCGGGTTCATCTCACTAGGGAATCCCAGACAGTGGGTGCAGGACAGTGGGTGCAGCGCACCGTGTGCCAGTCGAAGCAGGGCGAGGCCTTCCCTCACTCGGGAAGTGCAAGGGGTCAGGGAGTTCCCTTTCCTAGTCAAAGAAAGGGGTGACAGATGGCACCTGGAAAATCGGGTCACTCCCACCCTAATACTGCACTTTTCTGATGGGCTTAAAAAACGGCACCCAGGAGATTATATCTTGCACCTGGCTCAGAGGGTCCTACGCCCATGGAGTCTCACTGATTGCTAGCACAGCAGTGTGAGATCAAACTGCAAGGCGGCAGCGAGGCTGGGGGATGGGCGCCCGCAATTGCTCAGGCTTGCTTAGGTAAACAAAGCAGCCGGGAAGCTCCAACTGGGTGGAGCCCACCACAGCTCAAGGAGGCCTGCCTGCCTCTGTAGGCTCCCCCTTTGGGGGCAGGGCACAGACAAACAAAAAGACAGCAGTAACCTCTGCAGACTTAAATGTCCCTGTCTGACAGCTTTGAAGAGAGCAGTGGTTCTCCCACCATGCAGCTGGAGATCTGAGAACGGGCAGACTGCCTCCTCAAGTGGGTCACTGACCCCTGACCCCCAAGCAGCCTAACTGGGAGGCATCCCCCAGTAGGCGCAGACTGATACCTCACGTGGCCAGGTACTCCTCTGAGACAAAACTTCCAGAGGAACGATCAGACAGCAGCATTCGCGGTTCACGAAAATCCGCTGTTCTGCAGCCACCGCTGCTGATACCCAGGCAAACAGAGTCTGGAGTGGTCCTCTAGCAAACTCCAACAGACCTGCAGCCGAAGGTCCTGTCTGTTAGAAGGAAAACTAACAAACAGAAAGGACATCCACACCAAAAACCCACTGGTACATCACCATCATCAAAGACCAAAAGTAGATAAAACCACAAAGATGGGGAAAAAACAGAGCAGAAAAACTGGAAACTCTAAAAAGCAGAGTGCCTCTCCTCCTCCAAAGGAACGCAGTTCCTCACCAGCAATGGAAGAAAGCTGGACGGAGAATGACTTTGATGAGTTGAGAGAAGAAGGCTTCAGATGATCAAACTACTCCGAGCTACAGGAGGAAATTCAAACCAAAGGCAAAGAAGTTAAAAACTTTGAAAAAAATTTAGACGAATGTATAACTGGAATAACCAATACAGAGAAGTCCTTAGAGGAACTGATGAAGCTGAAAGCCGAGGCTCGAGAACTACGTGAGGAATGCAGAAGCCTCAGGAGCTGATGCAATCAACTAGAAGAAAGGGTATCAGTGATGGAAGATGAAATGAATGAAATGAAGCGAAAAGGGAAGTTGAGAGAAAAAGAATAAAAAGAAACAAACAAAGCCTCCAAGAAATATGGGACTATGTGAAAAGACCAAATCTACGTCTGATTGGTGTACCTGAAAGTGACAAGGAGAATGGAACCAAGTTGGAAAACACTCTGCAGGATATTATCCAGGAGAACTTCCCCAATCTAGCAAGGCAGGCCAACATTCAGATTCAGGGAATACAGAGAATGCCACAAAGATACTCCTCGAGAAGAGCAACTCCAAGACACATCATTGTCAGATTCACCAAAGTTGAAATGAAGGAAAAAATGTTAAGGGCAGCCAGAGATAAAGGTCGGGTTACCCACAAAGGGAAGCCCATCAGACTAACAGCGGATCTCTCGGCAGAAACTCTACAAGCCAGAAGAGAGTGGGGGCCAATATTCAACATTCTTAAAGAAAAGAATTTTCAACCCAGAATTCCATATCCAGCCAAACTACGCTTCATAAGTGAAGGAGAAATAAAATACTTTACAGACAAGCAAATGCTGAGAGATTTTGTCACAACCAGGCCTGCCCTAAAAGAGCTCCTGAAGGAAGCACTAAACATGGAAAGGAACAACCGGTACCAGGCGCTGCAAAATCATGCCAAAATGTAAAGACCATCGAGACTACGAAGAGACTGCATCAAACTAACGAGCAAAATAACCAGCTAACATCATAATAACAGGATCAAATTCACAAATAACAATACTAACTTTAAATGTAAATGGACTAAATGCTCCAATTAAAAGACACAGACTGGCATACTGGATAAAGAGTCAAGACCCATCAGTGTGCTGTATTTCAGGAAACCCATCTCACGTGCAGAGACACACATAGGCTCAAAATAAAAGGATGGACGAAGATCTACCAAGCAAATGGAAAACAAAAAAAGGCAGGGGTTGCAATCCTAGTCTCTGATAAAACAGACTTTAAACCAACAAAGATCAAAAGAGACAAAGAAGGCCATTACATAATGGTAAAGGGATCAATTCAACAAGAAGAACTAACTATCCTAAATATATATGCACCCAATACCTGAGCACCCAGATTCATAAAGCAAGTCCTGAGTGACCTACAAAGAGACTTAGACTCCCACACAATAATAATGGGAGACTTTAAGACCCCACTGTCAACATTAGACAGATCAACGAGACAGAAAGTTAACAAGGATATCCAGGAATTGAACTCAGCTCTGCACCAAGCAGACCTAATAGACATCTACAGAACTCTCCACCCCAAATCAACAGAATATACATTTTTTTCAGCACCACACCACACCTATTCCAAAATTGGCCACATAGTTGGAAGTAAAGCTCTCCTTAGCAAATGTAAAAGAACAGAAATTATAACAAACTGTCTCTCAGACCACAGTGCAATCAAACTAGAACTTGGGATTAAGAAATCACTCAAAACCGCTCAACTACATGGAAACTGAACAATCTGCTCCTGAATGGGTACATAATGAAATGAAGAAATAAAGATGTTCTTTGAAACCAACGAGAACAAAGACACAACATACCAGAATCTCTGGGACACATTCAAAGCAGTGTGTAAAGGGAAATTTATAGCACAAAATGCCCACAAGAGAAAGCAGGAAAGATCCAAAATTGACACCCTAACATCACAATTAAAAGAACTAGAAAAGCAAGAGCAAACACATTCAAAAGCTAGCAGAAGGCAAGAAATAACTAAAATCAGAGCAGAACTGAAGGAAATAGAGACACAAAAAACCCTTCAAAAGATTAATGAATTCAGGAGCTGGTTTTTTGAAAGGATCAACAAAATTGACAGACCACTAGCAAGACTAATAAAGAAAAAAAGAGAGAAGAATCAAATAGATGCAATAAAAAATGAAAAGGGGATATCACCACTGATCCCACAGAAATACAAACTACCATCAGAGAATACTACAAACACCTCTACACAAATAAACTAGAAAATCTAGAAAAAATGGATAAATTCCTCGACATATACACCCTCCCAAGACTAAACCAGGAAGAAGTTGAATCTCTGAGTAGACCAATAACAGGCTCTGAAATTGTGGCAATAATCAATAGCTTACCAACCAAAAAGAGTCCAGGACCAGATGGATTCATAGCCGAATTCTACCAGAGGTACAAGGAGGAACTGGTACCATTCCTTCTGAAACTATTCCAATCAATAGAAAAAGAGAGAATCCTCCCTAACTCATTTTATGAGGACAGCATCATCCTGATACCAAAGCTGGGCAGAGACACAACCAAAAAAGAGAATTTTAGACCAATATCCTTGATGAACATTGATGCAAAAATCCTCAATAAAATACTGGCAAACTGAATCCAGCAGCACATCAAAAAGCTTATCCACCATGATCAAGTGGGCTTCATCCCTGGGATGCAAGGCTAGTTCAGTATACACAAATCAATAAATGTAATCCAGCATATAAACAGAACCAAAGACAAAAACCACATGATTATCTCAATAGATGCAGAAAAGGCCTTTGATAAAATTCAACAACCCTTCATGCTAAAAACTCTCAATAAATTAGGTATTGATGGGACGTATCACAAAATAATAAGAGCTATCTATGACAAACCCACAGCCAATATCATACTGAATGGGCAAACACTGAAAGCATTCCCTTTGAAAACTGGCACAAGAGAGGGATGCCCTCTCGCACCACTCCTATTCAACATAGTGTAGGAAGTTCTAGCCAGGGCAATTCAGCAGGACAAGGAAATAAAGGATATTCGATTAGGAAAAGGGGAAGTCAAATTGTCCCTGTTTGCAGATGACATGATTGTATATCTAGAAAACCCCATTGTCTCAGCCCAAAATCTCCTTAAGCTGATAAGCATCTTCAGCAAAGTCTCAGGATATGAAATCAATGTGCAAAAATCACAAGCATTCTTATACACCAATAACAGACAGAGAGCCAAATCAACAATGAACTCCTATTCACAATTGTTTCAAAGAAAATAAAATACCTAGGAATCCAACTTACAAGGGACCTGAAGTACCTCTTCAAGGAGAACTACAAACCACTGCTCAAGGAAATAAAAGAGGATACAAACAAATGGATTAACATTCCATGCTCATGGGTAGGAAGAATCAATATCGTGAAAATAGCCATACTGCCCAAGGTAATTTATAGATTCAATGCCATCCCCGTCAAGCTACCAATGACTTTCTTCACAGAATTGGGAAAAACTACTTTAAAGTTCATATGGAACCAAAAAAGAGCCCGCATCACCAAGGCAATCCTAAGCCAAAAGAACAAAGCTGGAGGCATCACGCTACCTGACTTCAAACTATACTACAAGGCTACAGTAACCAAAACAGCATGGTACTGGTAATAAAATAGAGATAAAGATCAATGGAACAGAACAGAGCCCTCAGAAATAATGCTGCATATCTACAACTATCTGATCTTTGACAAACCTGAGAAAAACAAGCAATGGGGAAAGGATTCCCTATTTAATAAATGGTGCTGGGAAAACTGGCTAGCCATAGGTAGAAAGCTGAAACTGGATCCCTTCCTTACACCTTATACGAAAATTAATTCAAGACGGATTCAAGACTTAAACGTTAGACCTAAAACCATAAAAACCCTAGAAGAAAACCTAGGCATTACCTTTCAGGACATAGGCATGGGCAAGGACTTCATGTCTAAAACACCAAAAGCAATGGCAACAAAAGATAAAATTGACAAATGGGATCTAATTAAACTAAAGAGCTTCTGCACAGCAAAAGAAACTACCATCAGAGTGAACAGGCAACCTACAAAATGGGAGAAAATTGTCACAACCTACTCATCTGACAAAGGGCTAATATCCAGAATCTACAATGAACTCAAACAAATTTACAGGAAAAAAACAAAAAACCCCATCAAAAAGTGGGTGAAGGACATGAACAGACACTTCTCAAAAGAAGACATTTATGCAGCCAAAAAACACATGAAAAAATGCTCACCATCACTGGCCATCAGAGAAATGCAAATCAAAACCACAATGAAACACCATCTCACACCAGTTAGAATGGCAATCATTAAAAAGTCAGGAAACAACAGGTGCTGGAGAGGATGTGGAGAAATAGGAACGCTTTTACACTGTTGGTGGGACTGTAAACTAGTTCAACCAATGTGGAAGTCAGTGTGGCGATTCCTCAGGGATCTAGAACTAGAAATACCATTTGACCCAGCAATCCCATTACTGGGTATATACCCAAAGGACTATAAATCATGCTGCTATAAAGACACAGGCACATGTATGTTTATTGCGGCACTATTTACAATAGCAAAGACTTGGAACCAACCCAAATGTCCAACAATGATAGACTGGATGAAGAAAATGTGGCACATATACACCATGGAATACTATGCAGCCATAAAAAATGATGAGTTCATGTCCTTTTAGGGACATGGATGAAGTTGGAAATCATCATTCTCAGTAAACTATCGCAAGGACAAAAAACCAAACACCGCATGTTCTCACTCAGGTGGGAATTGAACAATGAGAACACATGGACACAGGAAGGAGAACATCACACTCTGGGGACTGTTGTGGGGTGGGCGGAGGGGGGAGGGATAGCATTAGGAGATATACCTAATGCTAAATGACGAGTTAATGGGTGCAGCACACCAGCATGGCACATGTATACATATGTAACTAACCTGCACATTGTACACATGTACCCTAAAACTTAAAGTATAATAATAATAATAATAAAAAGATTTTGCAAGGATTATATATGAATATATATGCCAATATGCTTCAAAATTTATTATTCAAATGTTGATAATTTATTATGATCACAAAGACACAGAAAATAATATTGATTTAGCCATGTAGAAATAAGTAATGATATAATGTGTGAATATGCTTTAATGTCTATACCTTATACATTTTTGTTTCTGTGAGAACCAAATGCATCTAGGAGGAAGTATCCCAAGAGAGTGGACCCTTAGGGACTCCTAGCTCCATAAACACTGCTTCTCTGTCCTTTTATCTGAACTCCAGAATATATGATAAATGCTACGTGTTATTTTTTTCAAGTGAAGTAAATATTGAAATTAAAATATTTCCAAATAAATTAATAAAAATTGAATAGATATAGTTTTCATTATTTCAGTAAAACATTTGATAAAAAATTTTGTGCCATGATGTTCCATAGGCATTTCAAACAGAAACCGTCTCTAAGTTATGTTACCACCCTCTGCTCGCTTACCCACCCTACTCTTCCCCTATTCTCTAATCACCCTAATGCAATTGTAGTTAGAATCCCCCACTGAAATAGAAAGTAGAATGTCAGTTACCAGAGGCTAGGAAGGGTAGTGGGGAGTGGGGGAAGGAAAGTAGGAATGGTTAATGGGTATAAAAATATAGTTACATAGAATGAACAAGGTCTAGCATTTAATAGCAAAACAAGGTGACTACAGTCAGCAATAATTTGTTGTACATTTTAGAATAACAGAGGGAGTACAATCTGAATGTTTATAACACAAAGAAATGACTTATGCTTAAGGTGATGGATACCTCATTTACTCTGATGTAATTATTAGATACTATATGTCTGTATCAAAATATCTCATGTTTCCCATAAATATATGATATAGTTTGGCTCTGTGTCCCCACCCAAATCTTACCTTGAATTGTAATAATCCCCACGGGTCATGGGAGGGGCCTGGTGGGAAGGAATTGAATCATGATGGTGTGTTTTTCCCGTGGTGTTTGAGTGACAGTGAATAAGTCTCATGAGATCTGATGGTTTCATAAAGGGGAGTTCCCCTGCCCATGCCCTCTTGCCTGTGGCCATGTAAGACGTGCTTTTGCTCTTCCTTCACCTTTTGCCATGATTGTGAGGCTTCCTCAGCTCTATGTGGAGCTGTGAGTCCATTAAATCTCTTTCTTTTATAAATTACCCAGTCTTGGATATGTCTTTATTAGCAGCATGAGAATGTACTAATACAATATATTAACCTACTATGTACATATAAAAATTAAAAAGACAATTTTAAAAATATCTCCAGTTGTTCACCTGCTCAAATAAGAAAATTATTAACTTTCCCTCTCCTCTCCTCCCTCTTGTAATTCTCTTGACTCTTCTTCTCCCATGCTCACTGTCATGCTCCTGGTCAGACCCCACCACTATTATACAGACTATTGCAGAAACTTCTTAACTCGTGGTTACTCTGTGGCCTACAACCTCCACCTCCAATCTGTTCTCCTCTCTACCCCTTAGCATAGCTCATGCAAAAAACACAAATTCAGATACATCATTTCCCCCTTTAGAAAAACATCAATACCGCCTCCATTAAAAAAAAAAATCAAACTACTTAAATAAATTAGCATGGTACTTGACACCTGTTTCAATCTAGTTCCCAGATAACTTTTCAGCAATCTCTCAGCATCCCACCCTCCACACGATTTGCTATTTCTGTAAAATGACACCTCTGAAGTATTCTATGTCAAAATTATTCTTCCATTCTTCTGTGTCTCTGAGTCAGGATGTGAATTTTACTATTTAAATGCATACGGAGGAGTTAGAAGGATTTAAAGACTGTGAGGAATGCTTGAGAAACAGGGTTTTTATTGTTAGTGGTGGCAGTGGTGGGTTTTGGGGGTAGGGGTTGTTTGTGAGTAAAGGAAATCAAAATGTTTTACCATAAAATATACTTTTTTGATATTTTGAGATGGCTGTTCAGAAGCTCTGCAAATAGAAGTAGCCCTACAAAGCTGTCTTTGTGGGGAAAAATTGCATCTGTAGATAGAATCTGAATTGATGAAACCAGGTTTTCTGATTTTTCAGCAAAACTTCCAAGGACTAAAGGGAAGTTTTCCTTTGGCCCTTACAAGTGCTTCATCTACAGACAATAAAACAAGGATTAATGGCTGCCTCTTAATATTTAAAAGAAGTCATGAAGTGAATGAGGAGGAGTAATTCTTTATAATACAACAGGATTTCAAAAAATAGTGAAATTTATAGAACAGCAGTCTTTTGCTGAGCTATTTTCTTTTTGCAAAAGAAAAGACTATTTTAATTGACAGTGTAAAAAACAACATCAATGTATTGCTAACCTAGTACCCTTACAGGATTTCTTTAATTACTCTATTACATTTTTCAGAATGCTTACTCGTAAGAACAGGGAGACTCAAAAAGGTTTAAGCAACACAGCTAAGACTTAAACTCCAAATTGCCCCACTCAAAGTGACATGTGTGTTCTTACCACCAACTCTGAGCTGCCAACTATCCATTTGTTTAAGATATGATAGAATGAATTTCATCATTGGCATGAAGAAATAAACCTGCCATTAAAAAAAAGATCTTTCTCAACATTAAAATTGGATAACTTAATACACTGGTAAGATTGGTATTAGAAAATTTTTTTAGTTTATATTCTTTTGTCTTTTTTTGTTTGTTGGTTTTTTTTTTCTTTGCAAATGTAGTGTTAAAAGAGGCCATCGAGTGAAACAAGTCTCTAATCCTTCCAGGGAACTGTAATCCAAGCAAACTGTTGCACCTTTCCCTGGTTTGTGCTTTCATGCATCTTCCCAAGGTCTTTTTGTAAAATTCACATTAGGAGATTAATGGCAATATATTTTCATGACATCTATAGTGCAGAATTAGCCTCTATAATGGCACATATATACCTCGGTCATAAAATTCAATACTCCCAACTCTCTACTTCAGGCTCTTCAGTGGCCTCTACATTGTCCACTAAAATTATTTTCTAACTGATAAATTCTTCTTTGACACTAACCTTGTCAAAAGGCTTACAAAACTTCTTTGAGGTAAAGGAAAGCTCCTGCAAAGGCATTTCCTTTGTTTTAAATTGTTCTCCATGTTCCACAGTATGTAACTAAACACAGGAATCAGGGATAAATATCAAAACAGAACAGTCTAAAAAACTAAAATGATAGATGTCTTGAAAACACATGTCAGCCACGCTCATGTTATACAAAGTAGATCTGAAAATAGAAACAGAAAAAAAGCATGCATGTGTCTGTGCAGTATTTTATATGGCTTAAATAATACAAAAAAAAAAGGTTTTCTTTCATGCTGTATTTTATAACTGGAAGTTTGTCTTTGTCTTTACATCCATATAATCCTTTTCCAAATAAAGTAAGCATCAGTAAGTGTTTACTTTACTAAATGTACTAAACTAAAAAGTACTAAATGTACTGAAGTACAGAGCAACTCAGGAGTATACTTTTTAAAACTATTCATCCAACAAATATCTGTTAAACATCCAAAAGAGTAAATTAGTAGGTGGGGAAGGAAAAGGGAGTAGTAAGAGTTGAATAAACTGTGTTCACCCTCTGCAGGCACTTTCTTCAGTATTTGCTCAACTTAATACACTCCTCCACTTCTCACTATTAGCTTGATGCTGGCTGAGCAGCATTTTAGTGTTGGCAGCTATGCTGGACTGGTTGTTGTCTGTTTTAGGTTTTTCTCTCCCTTCTAAAATTTACCAGCATTTGAATAAAGTTGCTCATTTCAGTGTTAATTGTTTTGGTTTGCACATGAATCATTTCTGATTTGTTTGAGTGCAGCATTCTTTTATTATTGCACATCCACATTTCTTACAAAGGAAAAGAAGTCATCTTGGACATCTCTCTGGGTTAATTTTCCAAAATGGTATTAATAATTTGCTTTTGTAATACTATTCTTAGAAACTTAAACCCTGTCAATGGGTTATTACACACACCTTTCCTATTAGTCAATAAGCCCTTAGCCCCATTAAGCTTCAGTTGGAGGAGGCTGTGATCACAGTTCAAGGCTAAGCACAGCATTAAGCTCTGTGAGCATCAGTATTTCAGAAGGAAAAGAAATAGCTGTTGCGGCACTATTCAGCCTGCCATTCACTCTGCTAGGCTTAAGATAAGACTTAGCACAATGTCATAGGTAAGTAATGATCAAAGAAGGCACAAACTTGCATGCTCCAATTAGATGTATTTGAAAGTAAGTATGAAATACAATGGAGACAGTCAAACACAAAAACACACTCTTGACTGTTCTAAACTCCTTTGGAATGGCCAAACAAGATAGAATATCACAATACACCCAGAGAGAGCATCAGTATTTAAAATTGAAATAACTCTTATGTTATATATAGCATTTAGCAGAACTAGAGAATTGATTAACTGCTTATTCCATGCACATATTTGAGTTTTTTCTTTTTAAAAGGAAAACCATATCACAAATAATTAACTTTTAAATTTAAACTTGTGAGTAATTTAGGAATCACAGTAATGAGGTTCATTTCTTTAACTAAACGAAAATGTATTAATTCAGGGTTTAAGAATTCATAAGCTGTCCTAGAATCTATTTGGTAATATTCAATAAAAAGAGGAAATAGTCCCTATTTTCAAGGAATTTATAATCTAGCACAGAAAAGAAATAACAAGAGCTTATTATGTAACTTGAAAACATTTGTAAAGCAACAGGCCAAGGTAATTTTTATAATTCAATAATATCAAGCAAAAAGGAGTGAAGAGATGATGAGAGTAAATGGTCAAACATAGGATTATGGATTGTAAAGCACTTTAGGATAAAAAATTTTAAGAACTCCTTACTATTCACACAGATCAAGCTGAGTGCAGAAATCAAGCTCTTCACCACCAGACTGTGTTGCGTGAGTTATGAGGTAAATCACCAGGATACATTTATAGCACATTGCTAGGCCTAAAGTGGTATTCAGTTTAGTAAATCTGAACCTGCCACAGGCATAATAGCAGAGTTCAGAGCTGGTAGCATATTGTTCTTAAATTGCAAATTCGTTTCATTCTCTATTAACAGAAAGAGAAGAGAGATGAAGCTGGGGCTTCAGGGTCAGGTAAAGAACTAAATTTCCAAACCAGGACAAAGTTAACATTTAAGAATATACCACTGGGCCAGTCATGGTAGCGTACATCTGTTAATCCCAGAACTTTGGGAGATTGAAGTGGGAGGATTGTTAAGGCCAGGAGTTCAAGACCACCCTGGGTATCATAGAGAGAGCTCATTTCTTAAACAACAACAACAACAAACTTACCTGGGTGTGGCAGTCTGTGCCTGTAGTCTCAGCTACTTGGGAGGCTGAAGCAAAAGGATTGCTTGAGCCCAGGAGTTCAAGCCTGCAGTGAACTATATTTGTGCCACTGTACTCTGGGCTGGGCTACAGAGTGAGACCCTGTAACAATAAATAAATTAATAAATACATACATAAATACATAAATAAAGTATTAATCAATTACATAAAATTATACAGTAGTCCCCCCACTTATCTGGGGGATATGTTCCAATAACCACAATGGGTGGCTGAAACCATGAATACAATTGAATCCTATATACACTATGCTTTTTTAATACATACAAACATTATATACATACATACTTATGATAAAGTTTAACTTATAAGTTAAGCACAGTAACAGACTAACAACAAAAACTAACAATAAAATAGAACAATTATAACAATATACTGTAATAAATGTTATGTGACTGAGTTCTCAAAAGATCTTATTGTACTGTAATCACCCTTCTTGTGATGAGGAAAGATCTTATTGTATTGTAATCATCCTTCTTCTTGTGATGAGGTGAGATGATACATTGCCTACATAATGAGATGAAGTGAGGTGACATGGTGTTAGGCTACTATTGACCTTCTGATGACATGTCAGAAGGAGCATCATCTGCTTTAGGTGATCCTGAATTATCCAACCATGAAGATGTTGGTGGGTGGATGTCAGGAACAGACAATGTTGATGCCCAATGGGTGAATAGCATCTTCAGTGTGGATACACCAAACAAAAGAATGATTCAGGTGGGAGATTTCGTTTCACTACTCAAAGCAGTGTGCAATTTAAAATTCATGAACTGTTTATTCTTAGGATTGTCCACTTAATAGTTTTATACTGCAGCTGACTGTGGGTAAGTGAAATTATAGAAAGTGAAGCCATGGATAAGGAGGAACTACTGTAGTGATAATCAACTGTCTCATAAAACAAATAAGGCTTTACTAAACTTGTCCAGGTAAAACATAGGAGATGAGGCATGAAATCAACACAGCAGAAGAATAAATTGTGAAACCATGGAGCCAAACTTCAAAAGAAATTTGGGGCATAGTTTTGGTATTCCACTGAAGACATCAAAGCTGAGCACTTTGCAAACCATATAAAAATGCTAGACCTTGAGATTCTCTCTGCCTCTTCCATTTTCCTGTCTTGCTATTCCTCCCTTGCTTCTGGTCTACTCTGCCACTTCAGTTGGCTGTCCAGTTGAACCAACTTCTCTCTGCAGTCCTCTTAAAGGTACAGAACACTAGGTTGGCTAAAGAGTTTTCTGCAGTGATTATATGGGTCTCAGAGTTACTCAACAAAGCAGTTCCCATACTTTATTTTGCCCTGGGACTGTAAGAGGATATAGCCCATTTATAGAGTGTCTGGAAAGAAAAAGTTTTTTGAATTTACACAAAAATGTTGACCTTTAGTTGAACAATATCAGAAAACTTTGAGTTACTTGAAAAAATTGCAGGAAAAAGAAATCTGAAATTGAGTTCTATTTGCTAGCAAAAAAAAAAAAGAAAGAAAAATAGTAACAAAAAGATAAATTATCACTTGAAACTGTTATATAGTTGTTGTAATTATTTTATTGTTGTAAAACTAGTCTATTCCTACCAAGTTATATTAATATTTACTCAAGGCTAAAAATTAAAATGTCTCCCAATTTAAGATACAAACAAATTCAAGTTCTGACAGGCAGCACCATCATCCACATTTCACATATAGAAAATGTTTTTAAGTAAGAGCTGTTTACTATATTTGATGATTGTTCTCACTCTTGGCCTCAAGCATGCAGAAAGAAAGTTTGCACAAATTTATTGTAAAGAAAACTATAGAAGCCTAGTCACCTGCCAATAAAAATCTTCTAGCAATTTTCTGGTTATGGCTTTTTTTAAGTTCTTTATTTTTAGTCTTTGCATTACCTCCTTGTAAACTAATGACCATTGCCCCTATCTGAAATATAGGAATATGAAGGTAGAGGGGATCGAGGGAGATAATCTATTCTATGTCTTATGCTCTTCATTTACTTAAAATTAGTTAATTAGTGTTTCATTCTGAACTTTCTCTTTTCAGAAATGCTCAAAAGGAAACTAAGGCTATTGCATTGGAATATTCATGTCTACCCTTTTTATCTCTCATCATGCTGTAATCAGAACTATTTTGTCTATGTTTAATATCTGAAAGATACTCTCAGCATATATTTATCACATATTTATTTATTCTCAACATACGGTTGTACAGAAAATTCTCTTGTTTTACCATTGTTGTTTTAGCATTATTGAATCATATTTAGATATCTTAATTCCTTTTCCAATACTTTGTTATGTTAATTTATTTTTCAAATACTTTTATGATTATGTAGTACATATTATCTGAAGAAATCAAACATTATATACAATATCTTATTCTTTCTTTAAAGTAGAAATTAAATTTTATCTCTCCATATCTTATATAAGTTCTGTGTATCTTATGTTTAACAAATAGTATATACTGTTTCTTTTCTTGGCCAGAATAAAGATATCCACAGTATCATAATCTATAAACTACATTATTAACATATTTTATCTCATAAGATTGATATGGAAATTAAGCAAGTAATGTATATCTTGAACAATTTGCAATATATTAAGCAGTTTTTCTAGACTTTTCAGTAATTTTAAATAAACTCAATATAAGAATAAATTGTTTTAAGATACCATATAGGAAGGTGGGTGGTAAAAGAAGTTACTAAATGTCACAGATGAATGAAACCTAAAAATGTAGGTATATTTTAATATATGTAACTTGCTATGTACTTAGAGATATAATTGTGTTAGGCCATTCTAGCATTGCTATAAAGGAATAGCTGAGGCTGGGTAATTTATAAAGACAAGAGATTTAATTGGCTCGTGGTTCTGCAGGCTGTGCACAGCATGGCACTGGCATCTGCTCCGCCTCTGGGGAGGCCTTAGGGAGCTTTTATTCATGGGAGAAGGTGAAGCAGAAATAGGCACATCACATGACAAAAGCAGGAGAAAGAGAGGGTGTTGAGTGGGGGGTGCCACACACTTAACCAGATTTCACAAAAACTTACTCTCTATCACAAGGACAACACCAAACCATGAGGGATCTGTCCTCATGACCCAAACACCTCCCACCCGGTGCCACCTCTGGCAATGGGGATTAAAATTCAACATGAGATTGGTGGGGATACATATTCAAACAATATCATTCCATCCCTGGCCCCCTAAATCTCATGTCCTTCTCACGTTGCAAAATACAATCATCCCTTCTCAACAGTCTCCCAAAAGACCAGTCTCATCTGGAGATGAGCTCCTTTCACCTATGAGCCCATAAAATTAAACAAGTTACTTAGTTTCAAGATACAATGGGATTACAGGCGTTGGGTAAACATTTCCATTCCAAAACGGAGAAATTGGCTAAAAGAAAGGAGCAACAGGACCCAAGCAAGTCCTACACCCATCAGGGTAGTCATTTAATCTTAAAGCTCCAAAATAATCTCCTTTAACTTCATGTCCCACATTAGAGCTCACTGATTCAAGGGGTGGCTTCCCAAGACCTTGGGCAGCTCTTGCTCCTGTGTCTCTGCAGGGTTCAGTACCCATGGCTGCTCTCACAGGTTGTTGAGTGCTTGTGGCTTTTCAAGGCACAGAGTGAAAGCTTCCAGTAGATCTACTATTCTGGGTACTGGAGGGGGCTGGCCTCCTTCTGACAGCTCTACTAGGCAGTGCCCTCAATCCCACATTTTTCCTCCACAATGCCTTAGTAGAGGTTTTCTGTGAGGATTCTGCCCCTACAGCAGTTTCTGCCTGGGCACCCAGGCATTCTTATACATCCTCTGAAATCTAGGCAGAAACTGCCAAGACTCTTTCACTTTGTGCACCTACAAGCACAACACCATGTAGCTTGTGGCTTGTACGCTCTGAAGCAGCAGCCCAAGCTGTACATGGGCCGCTTTGGCCTGAGGCTGGAGCCAGAGTTGCCAGGATGCAAGGAGAAAACTCCTGGGATGGTGCAGGACAGTGGTGCCCCAGGCCTGGGCCCCAAAACAATTCAGTCCTCCTGGATCTCTGGGCCTGTGATGGGAGGGGCTGCCTCAAAGATCTCCAAAATGACTTTCAGGCCTTCTCCCATTGTCTTGGCTATCAGGATTGGGCTGCTTTTTATTTATACAAATTTATCTAGCAGCCTGCTAGAAACCCTCTCCTGAAAAAGCATTTCTTTCTTTACCATATGGCCAGGCTGAAGATTTTCCAAACTTTTATGCTCTGCTTCCTGTGTAAGCATAAGTTCCAACTTTAAGCCATTTCTTTGCCCCTGCCTCTGAGTATAGGCTGTTAGAAGCAGCCAGGCCATATCTTGAACACTTTGTGACTTAGAAATTTCTTCCACTGGATGCCTTAGGTCATCACTCTGAAGTTCAAACTTCCACAGATTCCTAGGTCATGAACAGAATGCAGCTAAGTTATTTGCAAAGGCATAACATGTGTGACCTTTGCTCTAGTTTCCAATAAGTTCCTCATTTCCATCTGAGACCTCATAATCTATCTATGTCACTATCAATGTCACTATCAGCATTTTGGTCACAACCATTTAACCAGTCTCTAAAAATTCCAAACTTCCCCCTCATCTTTCTGTCTTCTTCTGAGACCTCCAAACTCTACCAACCTCTGTCTGTTACCCAGTTCCAAGTCACTTCCACATTTTCAGATACCTTTGTCGCAAGACTCCCCATCTGGTACCAATTTTCTGTGTTAGGCCATTCTAGAATTGATATAAAGAAATACTTGGGCTGGGTAATTTATAAAGAAAAGAAGTTTAATTGGCTTATAATTCTGCAGGCTGTATAAGAATGTCATTGCACCTTCTCAACTTCTAGGGAGGCCTTTTACTCATGGCAGAAGGTGAAGTAGGAGCAGGTACATCACATGACAAAAGCAGGAGAAATAAAGGGAACTGGGGGGAGGTGCCACACATTTAAACAACCAGACCTCATGACAACTCACTCACTATCATGAGGACAGCACCAAGCAGCCTTATGGCCCAAGCAGGTCCTACCTCCAACATTGGAGATTACATTTCAACATGAGATTTGGTGGGGACACATATTCAGGCTATATTAATACTCATTTTGTCTAGTTATAGCAATATAATATTAATCTGGGAGAAAATTTCATTTTAAAATATTTAAATTTTAATAATACTTCCAGGTGATAAAATTCCAAAAGTCTAGCTGCTTTGAGTCGAACATTCAATTACATAAAATCCTTTTAACATCATCTAGGTTTATTTTCAACACCAAAGCATTTTAACATATGTGAAGTCATCTGATCTCAAAAGCCCAGGGATATAAGCAGCACATAGGCCCTCTTTATTTCACAAAAAAATAATAGAGTGACTCCGAGGTGAGAAACTTCTTTGATTTCATAGGACTAGTAGAGGGAGATACTGAGATGAAAACAAGGCTATTATCATTCATGAGTTGCCCTCATGCATGCATCGGAAACGCTACCCAATAACATTTTGGCTGCTGTATTAGTCCATTCTCACACTGCTATAAAGATACTACCTGAGACTGTGTAATTTATAAACAAAAAAGGTTCAACTGACTCAAAGTTCTGCATGGCTAGGGAGGCCACAGGAAACACAATCATGGCAGAAGGCAAAGGGGAAGCAAGGTGTCTCCTACATGGTAGCAGGAGAGAGAGAGAGAGAGGACAAAGAGAGAGAGAGAGAGAGGAAGGGCCATACTTTAAAACCATCAATGCTTGTGAGAACTCACTCTCTATCAGGAGAAGAGCATGGGAGAACCACCCCATGATCCAATCACCTGCCACCAGGTTCCTCCCTCAACACGTCAGGATTGCAATTTTTGATGAGATTTGGGTGGTGACACAGAGCCAAATCACATCAGGGGCCTTTTAAATTAATTCTTTATAAGAAAAGAAAATAATTATGCACACAATAATCATCCTCCCAATCTACCCCAATTGTAATAAATAAGATGCATATGCTTTAAAGTATGCTGCTAGAGGCTGTCATTTGTAAATAGGCAGATCTGCTTATTACTGACAATACCAGTCCAATCATTAGTATAATGTTTCAATTTCTCTTTGTGTTAATCTGGATACTTAGAAAACCTTATAGTTACTTTCAGAATTCAGCCCAGTTCTTTTCTTTTTCTTCCCCTGTGAGTGGTATTTTTTTAAGATACATAATTAAAAGCAAGGCTTTGAGATAAACCATTAGAAAAGTTGAAGCATTTTCTGCATGTATGCTATTCTTGCAATTAATTCCTATCAGAATCAATTACACATTTCAGGCCTCCAGATAGAGAATTCTGTACCTGCTGAAGATTGAAAGAGCAGGAAGTTTATTACATTTATATGTACAAGATTCCTTTCCTTTCTCTCCAGCCCTCATAGCAATCATTAATAACGTAACCTTCAGTACAATGGGCTGTCAGTGCTTACCCTCTATTAGAAGAAAAATATACCACACATTTCCATAGTGAATGGGTAATGCAAACTGAAAAATGTGATAATGTTAAGAGAGGCATTCCTTCAAGTTATTTTGCCTAATTCTATTTTATACCTGGAGGAAGGTGATATTTTATCTTCCTATTGTAGATACTGAATGGGAACAATCAAAGCAATATATTCTGGACTTTTCAGGTCAGAAGAAAAAGGTTTCTTTTGTGACTATGTTTCAGTATGGCAGGTTCTGTTTTTATTGTTGGTGATAGAGTTGATCTAAGAATAATTTCCCAAATTTTGCGGGATATTTGAAAATTAGAACTTATAATACAACCGTGCAGCCCTATTCTCAACTCCAGGCATTAAAAATTTGAAAATACTAATGGTACAGAATCAAAAACTAATTACTATATGAATTAGTTTTATTTCTTTCTCTTTATCATTGCCATCAAGAAAAATTTATTTTTCAAACGTCAGTGGGAATTGCTCATGAACAAGTCAGTTAAAATATAATGTAGTTAACTACTATGACCATGAAATTATAATATAATATAATTCACATTAGAGACATACAGCAATTGTACTTAGTAGAATAAAAGAAACCTTGCCCAATAGGCAGCAATAAAAGGTAGTGAGCTCATTGCCATAAGAAATATTCAGAGACTAGATGACCACTTATCAAAAATGTAATGATGTAATATAGGAAACATTTAGGAAACGTTTTAATAAAATAATGGATGAACCAATTTACAAAAAACTCCCTCCCTATCATGGCAGTCTATGCTTCTGTGAAAAGTAATATGAAATAAAAGATTAAAACTGGTCAAGATTAATCCAAGACACTAAGAATTTGTGGAAAGAATTGTTTAGTAGAGAAAATCAACTTATATCAAGGACTTATGTATGTCACTATATATAAATCATCTCATTTAATTTTCACAATAAATCTGAGTTAAATATAATTCTCTTCCTACTCCTCAAATGCTAAGAGAGAAGGAAATTTGCACAAAGTCACTCAGCCAGTGAGGTGGAACTAGAACCCCAAAGCCTATGCACTCAGCCATTTGCCTTTCTGTATTTAAAATTCTCTAGGTATTCTTCCAATTATTCTGAAAAATGTAATTCTAACCCTATTATATAATATTGCAGTTGAAGCTTTGTAGAAAAAAACATATAGAGTAGATCATCTCAGGGAGCCTGTCAATGACAAAATGCCAATATCGAGCTTAAGTTTTTGGCTTAGTCAGTTCATTTGGATGATATCTCTTAGCAGCTAGTCCTGAATATTTTCTCAAGAAACACCAGAAGTGGTTCCAGAGGATGTATAGAAAGGATTTCTAGATCTTTGTGAGAAAAAAAAAGAAATTCATTTCCTCAGAAAGAAGCTTCCTTACCTCACACTGCAGAAATTAAGTGTAATTTGCATGAGTCCTTCAAAGAGCCCTACCAGAATCCTTCTGGAAACTGTCATCTACTAGGTTAGTTACAATGGAACCCGAGCCTAATTCAAATCTTCTTCACTAAAAAATTCATTTGACAAACTATTTTTTTTTTTGGCTTAAAGTGTTTGGTTTCAGCAACAAGATTAATATCTCTCCTAGTTTTTTTTTTCATTATGCAGTAACCCAATTAAACAAAGTAACAGTATGCTTTCACAGGGAAATTACCACATATTTAAGTTTTAAGCTAAGGTAAATTCTGTCCATTAACATTTTTTAAGTCTCTCAACTTCTTTACGATCCATCAGTTTTTGTGTCCTGGTAGGTTTTCTTGTATCCAGCTGTCCCCCGAGCTTCACGTTCCTGCTCAAAGAGCCCTGGCCATCACTATCCATCCTCTTTCTCCTCACCATCTCCTCATTATCTAATGCCTCAGAGTATCTCAGCCCTCCTAGTCATGAAGACAGCACTGCCACAGGATGCCATCGCACATGCTGCAGCAAAGGCATCAGGAGTCCAGGGCCCAGGTTGGACCCAGTTGGAATTCCAGAAGCTCTGGCTTGCCTATTGCTGTCCCCTGGACCAGACAGCAAAGCCAATGAGTGCAAAGGAGTTAACACTTTTTGTGCAAATTTTGACCAGTGCAAGCCAGAATATATAAGTGTCTGACATATAAATTCTTCCTTCCTCCATACCACGGACAAACTGTTCCAGGAGCCCTCTCCTGGGGACATTCCACATGACTGAGCAACTAGTTCTGTGACTCCTCAGGCTGTTTGTCTTGGTAATACACCAAATCCCAAATCCCATTTGCTTATAATTGTTTTCCCTCCTTCCCTCACACATAGAGCCCTGGGATTGCCCCCACTAAAGCCTGAGAATGTTAACTTTGCTTCAGTCTCTGATTTCCAAGAGACATTGTCTAAACTTTTTTTTTCTTATTGGTTTTCCACAAGGCTTAAAGCAAAGAAATGCAAACATAGAATTTTAATCAGGAGAAATTTTGTTTAGTTTAACAATATGACTAATGCAATTTTCACAGACTTCTGAATGAAATCTGAGCAACACGTAACTATATAACCATAATGTAACATTTTCCTGCTGTCTTAATTAAAAATTAATAAAACTGACTATATTCCTTTTTTAATTAATCATCACCAGAATTTACAAAATACCTCTTCCAATTTTGGGGGGAAAGGGTAAAACCTTCCATTTTCTTTTCTGTTTTACTTCTCTATATAGGTAGTGATTTCCACTTTAAAACAGAAAATGCTGTTGCCAGAAAATGTACTTTACTGGTGCTTTAAGGTCAATAGTTTAATTTTGTGTAAGCACTTTCCTTTCTTTTATTCCCATATCTTCATTATAGCTCACTTTCACATAAAACTAAATGTACTCTTTCATCACTAAGGCAATAAAAAGGTTAATTTAAAGCAAGATGAGGAAAAAAAAAGTCAGCAATTTACCATAGCCAATCTCTGATTCTCTTGAAGTCTTTTATTTAATTGCTTTAATTTTGAATTATTCCAAGCACCCCAAAATCTAAAGACTAATAAAATGAACACATGAGTACCTATCACCCTGCTTTAGCCAATCCAGGCATCTGGCAAATCTACTTCAGATTTTTTAAATTGAAAGTACATTAGTTAGGGAGTCAATACCACATGAGTACCCCTCCCTATGTCATTTCTTTCATTCTTTGCGATGCGGAATTTTATTTTTCAGTCTCTTATGGAAGCTTGTGTCATTCATACATATGAATTCATATGTGGAAATAATCTTTTAATTTTTTAATAAATGACATTAAAATATAGATACTCATTCATTTAGTTAAACAACCTTGTTTGCGGCACTTTCTGTGTGCTAAACAATAATCCAGGAATTGAATTTACAGTGAAAAACGATATAAAGTTTGTATTTTTTAGACTTATATTATAGTTGAGGAACAAAACACATAAATTTACAATATGCTATGAAGAAGTGATAATTGCTTTTTAAAAAGGATAAGCACTTTGGAAAGTAAAGGTGGGAGGATCGCTTGAGCTCAGAAGTTTGAGAGCAGCCTGGACAACATAGTGAGACCTTGTCTCTACAAAAAATTAGAAAATTAGCTGGACATGGTGGTACGTGCCTGTAGTCTCAGCTACTCAGGTGGCTGAGGCAGGGAGATCTCTTGAGACCAAGAGTTTGAGGCTGCAGTGAGCTATTATCACACCACTGCACTCTAGCCTAAGCAATAGAGAGAGTTCCTGTCTCAAAAAAAAAAAAAATAGAGAGAGAGATAAGGAAATAAAGAGTGTTGGAGTGGGACATGCTAAAACATTTAGACTGATGAACAAAGATTTGAATAATGTACAGAAGACAGACAGCACAGCAGCTGTGGAGAAGTCTCCTAGAGAGAGGTAACGGCAAATGCAGAGCTAAGACAGGCCATGAGTGATGAGTTCAAGAAAAGAATCAAAAAGTGGCAGCAAGAATTTAATGAGCACGGTTGATGATATGGTTTGACTGTGTCCCCACCCAAATCTCATCTTGAATTGTAGTTCTCATAATCCCCACGTGTTGTGGGAGGGACCCAGTGGGAGGTAACTGAATCACGGGGATGGTTTCCCCCATGCTATTCTCATGGTAATGAGGGAGTTTTCAAATGATCTGATGGTTCTATAAGGGGCTTCCCCCTTTGTTTGGCTCTCATTTTTCTCTCTCCTGCTCCCTTGTGAAGAGGGACATGTTTGCTTCCCCTTCTGCCATGATTGTAAGTGTACTGAGACCTCCCCAGCCCTTTGGAACTGTGAGTCAATTAAACCTCTTTCCTTTATAAATTACTCAGTCTCGGGTATGTCTCTATAGCAGCAAGAGAACACACTAATACAGTTGAGAACCAGAAGAGGAATTTGCAAATGTTCATTGTGCAACATGCATTTTGCATTTAAACATGATTTTTTAGAGATTGAACCATGCTGTAATGAATAGATCTTCTGTTTGTTAAGAAAATTTAATTATCCATGTCTATATTAGCTTAAATTTTCCAATTTTTACTATGTTCACTATTGCAAACAGTGCTACAATAAATGTGATTTATCATACCTCTATTTTCAAACTCTCCCTATTTGTTGAAGACAACAGGTTTTTCACCTTTAGAATGACACATAATTTGAATTTTGATTATTATACAAAAACCATATTTCCAGTGGACTCATTTGTTTTTATTTCTTTTAAATATTCCTCTATGATATGTATGCAAACCAAATGGGGTATTTTAATAGTTATTTTGACAGTAAATAAAATACTTACGGTGAAGCTCCCCTAGTCTGAAACTCAACTAGTTATACGTGTGGAAGGAAATGATTGGTAAGATTCTGCTTCACACCTCAAACCAGAACTGCCAGCCTGATAAGCAAAGATCCCTCCTGTTACCCATTTACTCTAGGGGCTGGGGATAAAGTGAAACTCGTTATATATCCAAGACTAATCAGAGGTGGGAAAAGTGCATCAAGAGAAAAAAATAGAACATGGCAAGCCATGGGTTAGTATTAACTAACATCAAAGAATCAAAGAATTCCAGATTCATCCAGTAACCAGGAAGCCTACAATGTTGAGAAAAATAAAGCAAGAATAATTGGAAAGCAATGCAAATGTTGGAGATACAAGCAAATACACCAGAAAACAAAATCAATTATTCAGGAAAATAGTCCAGTAAACATACACTAGATGCCTGATAATCAGGCAAGATTTTCTCTTAGTCAAATGTCCAAAGACGGCTTCCTTGGATCTAAGCCCTAAAACAACACAACAGGAACACCTGACCAGAAGGAGGAGTTACAGTGGGAGAAAGATAACAATGTCTCAAAACCATAGGACATAGCTTACATTTTTAAAAAAACTGAAAATGGAAAAAATATAATGCACCTGTAATAGAATCTGTCAATATCTCATCATTCCTGAGACCTTTATTTACCCCTTCTGACTTCTCACTGCCAATTCTGGCATCTCTCTAAATACTGTTTGTTTGTTTGTTTGTTTTCATTCTTCAAAGCCCTGGAACGATACTTTGCTTATGGGCAGCAGACACCAGAAGTGCCAGCTTATTACTACTGTCAGGGAACAGTCCTCAATGAATGGCTTACTGGAGTTGGTGTAACAGTACCCCAGTCTTCTCTCCTCTTGGATGGGAGAGTCCTAAGACTTGACTTTGCCCTGGCCTCAGGTTGCCCCTAAGAAACTAAGTTCCAGGGACCCCCCGTGGTAGCTAGATTTGAAAAAGCACCTGTTAGTGGCTACTAAACCTCCAATCCTCTGCTGGCACACCCTACATCTTCCCCCACAAAAGTACCTGAACTTCAATTCTTATTTTAGGGACTGAGGTCTCCATTTTCTTTCTGGCCACGGGCTAGGGACCACTCTCAGCTCATAGAAGCCACTGCCTGTCCCTTGCCCCAGGAGCCCCTCCACTTCAGCAATGGAGAAATCAGCCAGGTCAAGCCCCTCTCATACTTGGAATCTCTCTAAACTACTTCCTCAGTCACCAGCCAGAGTAAACTGCGCTGTTAAAGGACCTGTGTTTTCATATGAGGCCTGCTCAGATAATGTTCATATCCTAAGGTCAGCTGATGTAGGGCTGTCCCTAGGTTAGTTGCTTGATCGAATCATCAAGGGCCAGGAGGCATGGAGAGCCATCTGACAATTGTGACAACCGCAGCAATCGTTTAATTAAACATGAGATTGAGGTGGTGTTTGCACAATTCTGTAAATATATAAATAATCATTGAATTGTGAACTTAAAACTGATGGACTTTACGTATGTAACTTCTATCACAATAAAGCTTTTAAAAATCACTTCCAGACACATCATCTTATTTATTCCTTAGAAAATCTTTTGTATTTTAGTTATTATTATTCCTATTTTTGCAGATAAGGCCAAACTAAGACAGAGTTTAAGGTATTCCCATGAACACATAGTGGTAAAACTAGAATCAAATGAATGTCTTTTGCAGATTACATTACTTTGTCCTATTTACTGCCTGTTTTATGTAAATGTAAGGCAGCCTTATAATTTTTTAGATATTTCCTGAAAAATACTCACCATTTTAAAATGCAGATCACATTACAATTTTATATTTTCCTGTAGAATTGCTTTCAGGTTTTAAATCAGTTTCTACAGGGTTAAAGTTGAAGAAAATACTTAGGAAGTCAATTGCTCTTTTTGTAAAACTCCCCTACATAGCAGAGCTGGGGTGGCAGGGAGGGAAGTGTCTTGTGATGAACATTAACAGCAGATAAGAACCTCAGTCCGTTTTTCTCAGTGTAAAAAGAAATGTATAATGAATTCCAGTGTCCCATATTAGAGATAGTCTATTTTATACTCTACACGTTTTGCCTGAGAGTATGGAGTCTCAAAAGTGCCACATGAACAGTCACAGCTGTTATTTCCACTGATTCAGAAACTACAGTCCTAAAATAAATCCCACACTTAATTAGCAATTCAAATATTGCATAAAATATTTCTATGCTCCAATTTTTTTCAGCTGATAAAAATTCAGGTTTTTTAATAAAAAGGAAGACAACTAAAATATTAAAAGTCCAAGGAGAATGCAGGAATAAAATTGATTTTAATTGTGTTTCTTCCCCTAAAGGAAAAACATTTTTCTCATGTAAAGTATGTTTTAGGGATCACTAAAAATTTTGCAATTGCTTAACAGCTGCCTGGTACATACACACACACACAAGCACACTCACATAAACTGATAAAAGTTTTGAATACTGACAAAAGAATATGTTATAAACTATTAAAACCTGAAACTGTCAGTTGCTTTTAATTTCATAAATGACGAATATTCATTAAACCCGCAAAAATATATGTACGTATATATATTTAATTTCCACCATCACTATTGGTTTCGTCATCCAAGATGTCTTGAAGACATTTTCTTTTTCTTCTTTCTTATCCACACTATGCCTTCAACACAAAATAAAATGAAGTGCCCTTATAGATGTTCTACTGTTAGAAAGTCTTAGAACAATCATTCCTTAGCTCTTTTCACTTTGCCTAATTTTACATATACATCTATCAAGTGAGATGCTTGTTAAATAGTCAATTCGTGTTCAGAGTAGCCACACGTGACTCAAACTTAGTGGCATTAAACACTTAAAAGAGTAATAAGGCAGTTAAAAGTCTCAGTTGGCTAAATTATAATCCCTGGGGCAGTCTTTTCTTTACAGCCTGCACTACTTTCTTGCCATCATTAACAGTTACATTCAGATAGCAACCCCTGTTACTTTGTTTTTTTCTTCTTTGAGATGGAGTCTCTCTCTGTCATCCAGACTGGAGTGCAGTGGGGCAATCTCGGCTCACTGCAACCTCCGCCTCCCGGGTTCATGCCAATCTCTGGCCTCAGCCTCCTGAGTAGCTGGGACTACAGGCCCCCGCGACCACGCCTGGCTAATTTTTTGTATTTTTAGTAGAGATGGGGTTTCACCATGTTATCCAGGATGGTCTTGATCTCCTGACCTCGTGATCTGCCTGCCTCAGCCTCCCAAAAGTGCTGGGATTACAGGCGTGAGCCACTGTGCCCAACTCTCTGTTACTTCTTAAACCTTTTATAATTATACTATTCCAGGGGTTCTGGTGACCTCAGGCTCTGATCAAAAACTTGGTTGAGCATTAGAAATGGTGGACCTTCAGTGAAAAAGAAATGGGTTTGGATATAATATATTTAAATACATAAGTTTTCTACTCTGTCATTATTTTGCTTATTCCAGAGTGAAAGATGGAATGCTCGGAAGCAATGGTTTTTGTCTCCCCTGGAAGAACTATGAATGAAGTGATAGTTCTGATGTGATATAATCATTTCATATCACATGATTTATGTTGTCTCAGTCCCCATGTGAGTATAGGTTTAACCTCCTTACACCAGAAACCGGACCCAGTCACCCTTGACAGTTTCCAGCTCTACACCTCTCCTAGTAACTGCATCCTTAGCAACTGGCTAGACAAGACTGCTTAGAGTTTCTTGAGAATTAGGCTTGCTGGCAGCTTGGCATAGTATAATTCTGAACTTCCAGAGTCCCTATAAATAACATCACTTTGGTACAGCCAAGTAACCAGCTACGCAGCCATCTACACAGCTTCTTCATGCTCTTATTCTCTCTACTTCCTACACAATAAACAATTTCATAGTATAAACAGAATAAAGAAAAACAACCAAGGGCAGAAAGAAGACAAAATTAAGGATTAATTTACTAGCAGCTTTCCAGTATGCAAATTTGTATCAGTGGAATATACTGGAAATGGGATATCAGTTAATAAGCTTTCCATACATGACATCTTGCACAATTGGCAAATATAAATGGAATCACACGCAAACGTATGTAATACAGAATGCACTGGCCAGATGACTGCCTTTTAAATTGTTGTTTCCAAGCAGCTGACAGCCTGAGAAATAAAGAAACAGAAAGGATGGTGTAGTGGTGGTGTACTAGGGGCAGATGAAGATTGCAAATGTGTGTGATTAGATAAGGTAGATAAATAGATTGATTGATTGATTGATAGATGATAGATAGATCGATCTTAAAATTCCTCCTGAGAAGCTGTTCAGAAAATTTACAGTAAAAAATTTCTTATTTGAACAGGAATAAAACTTTTAGTGATGGGTAATATGTTTCTCAGTTCATCTAACTAATTAAATGTTGAGCAAACCATTGAAGGGTGATCAATTTTTGGAGAAGGTTAAAAAACTGTGGCAGGACGTAATAGTACCATTTCTGATGCTAGAAGAATTGTCCTTAGAATTCTCCTATCTTTATTCCCAAAAGGAAACCATGATTTGTTTAGCTAATTCTATTCATAATGACACAGAAATTTCCTAAATAATTATCTTCTCTAATTACCACCATCTGAAAACTAGAGTGAGGAGATGCCATTTGCAAAACTTTTATAATCCTGGGGAAATTTATGCAATCATACATAAAATACATTTACTTTTGTTATAACTATGCAAAGAGCTATAATTGGCCTTATTTTAATAAACCTATTCTATCATTTTTTAAGAAATTTTATTTTGGGTATAATTCTCATTCTGCTAACACTACTTTCTAAAATTCATATTGAAGACAATGCAAGTTCACCTGAAGATGTCTTTCTTGCAGTTGTTAAAATATGAACTAAATTATGAATGACTACAGCAGTGAATGAAAGTACCTTTAACATGTTACTAAAGCATGAGAAAAAGAAGAGCTTCTCTGTAGCCTTCATAATTCTAACAAAGACACTAAAATAATGAAAGTTTTCTTTAAATCTTTTGGTGTGTCTTAATGATGCCAATTTATAATTCAAACACCTTCACTATCTTGCAAGCAATTTAGTATCTTTTTAAATGTAACTGGTCATGTTTACTCTTTCAGATTTGGGATCATCTCCTTTTCTCCTGTGTTGATCGCTCAGTCTTCACCATTACACTGACTCAAAACATCCAACTCTCATGGGCGCAACCCTTAGTTCCTTCCAGTGAGGCAAAGCAGCTGAGGCCTGCTGTGAGCAGAGCTTTTCTCTGACTCCGAATTTGGTTAATGTAGTGCATTCACCCAGAGGTGAAAGAGTTCTTTACAAGAGCTCTGAAAACATGCAGCACTATGGAAGGAAACATACCATCTGAAGCAATACAAAGTATATTTATAAAATAGAATAGCTCTTTTTGAAGTCTACTAAATAGGATCCACATTAGGCAGAACTATTTAGGGGTGTTTCCACATTGATGATGTAACCAGTCGAGATACATTTATTAAGAAACTATCCTTCTATTCTTTTTTAACTATTTATTTTGAAACAATTATTGACTCACTAAAAGTTGCAAAAATAATAGAGTCCTGTTCATCTTCACCCAGCTTCCCCTAATGTTAACAACATGTATAATTAATAGTATTATGTCAAAACCAGAAACTGTCATTGAGTCAATGCCGATAACTAAATGACAGACTTTATTCACATTTCACCAGTTTACATGCACTCTTTGTGAGTGTGTATAGTTCTATACAATTTTATCACATGTATGTGCTTGTGTAACCACCATGAAAATAAAAATATTACACTGTTCCATCCCTGCAAAGAAGCTCTCATGAGCTACCCCTTTATAGCCACTGTCTCTTGTCCCTAGCAACTACTGAACTTCTCTCCATCTCTATGATTTTATTTCAATAATTTTCTATAAATGGAATCACATAGCATACAAATTTTTTGAAAGCAATTTCTTAATTTTATTTCAGTAATTCGTATTCAAATAGCCTAATGCACTCAATTTTTAATAGTAAATATGCTTTAGGAAGGAAAAACATCTTCATATGATTCTGTTGTCATGCTAAGAACTAGAGGAGGGACCAATACACTAGTAATTTTTTAATAACAAATTAATATATTCTTGCAAATATATGCAAGAAAAACATGGTATCTCTTTTGTTACTAAATTTATTCCTTTTCTTGGGTAACCTTGAGAATTTGGCTTCTATGTCACTTTTTATATAGTGAATTCATATAATTTTATGTTGTGTCAGCCACCATTGTGAATGTAGGTTTAACTTTCTCAAACCACAAGCAGGGCCTAGTCACCCTTGACAGTTTCCAGCTCTACTCCTCCCCCAGGTCCCCAGTGTGGTGGGTCCAAACATTTGTCTTATACAACTGCCTCCTGGTGACCACCTTCCCATGAGACAGCTAGTTACAACTTACTTGACTGGCCCTGCTAACCCTCATACCCCATATGAACTGTGCAGATATGCCACAATGACCACCTCTCAGTCACGGGTGACCTCCTAAAAGTTGTGCCTGCTTTCTTTAAACTCATCAATTAAAGCTTCCCACAGGAAACCTATTGAGATCATGCCCTGGGCCCCAGTAAAGGCACTGGCCTGTGGGTCCCTCCCTCTCTTTTTTCATTGACCAACCTCCATGTGACCTTCAGGCATGTCATTCACTCCCAGGACCTGTAATTAATAAAATATTTATTTCCATCTTGGGTCTCTTCTAATCACTGAAGGGGTATTCTTTATTTAAAAAAAAAAAAAACCTTCAAACACGTGATTGGCTTTCTTCACTCAAAATGATGTCTTTGAAATTCATCCAACTTGTAATGTGCATTGGCAGTTTGTCCTTTTTTATTACTACATAGCGTTTCCATTGTGTAGATGTACCACGATATGTTTAACCCTTTATCTTTTTGAAGGACATTTGTGTGATAATATCAGTTTGGGACCGTAGCTGCTGTGAACATTCATGAACAGGTTTTGTGTGAACATGTTTTCATTTTTCCGGGATAATTTCCAGGAGTGTATTTGCTGGATCACATAATCCTATCTTCATTTAAAATTTTGAAGTTTGTTCATCGTGGGTTTTTTTGCATTAATTTTTATTTTTTAAAATATTGCATTAAAGTGCCGTTTATCTTAATTACTGATGTTTGGCACCCTTCCTTAAATCATTTACCAGAGGTGAGTGCCTCACTTACCTGACCTTAGTCTTGGTCCTGGCTATGTAGATATTTCGTTTTATAAGTATCTGCCTAATGGTTTTCTAGAGGGGCTGACAATGTGGCTGGAATTTTCACCAGCAATGTATGAATGATCCAGTTTCTATGCATCCTTACCAGCATTTGGTATTGTGACTTGTCCATTCTGTGGCTTTTCTTTTCATCCTCTTTACAGTCTTTCAAAGACCAAAAGGTGTTTTTTTTTTTAAATCAGGATGATATGCAATTTATCAATTTTTCTTCAAAGAATTAGTATTACTTCTAAAACTTCATTACATAACCCTGGGTCCCAAAGATTTTCCCATATTTTCTTTTTTCCAATGGTTTCACATAGTTTAAAATTTTACATTTAATTTCAGGATCCATCTGGTTAAAAATTTTATAAGAAATGAGGTTTAAGTTAATGATGTTTTGTTTTAGAGTTTTATCTAAACTGGATGCTTTATTTTATCAAATTTATATTCAAATTGTATAGAAATTATTACATATATCTATTTGCTACTTGACCTATGAAAGGAATATGACTAATATTTGGTACTTTTAACCTCTACCCTAGTATCAGTAATTCCACTAAAATAAGCTACTGATAAATTAATTGGGGTCTTGTTTGTATGTTTGCTTTTGGTTGTAGGTTTTTCAATAAAAAACAACAAGGTCATTTTTCTCATCCTTCCCATAGAAAGTGGGTTAGGCCTTAGTTCATTTAAATGTATGGATCCACTGCCTAACAGAAAAACTAGAATTCCTTTGTTAATATTTTAGTCTGATCTCCAACCCATCCACAAAATCCTCTTCAAAATTGTAAGAAATCTGGGAAACAAACTGAAACAAACACATATCAGAAGGTCTATGCCATGATTCACAACCTATTTAAACACAATGCACATTTTTACTGTAAGAAACACATTATAACACTCTAGTTGTTATTCTGAAATGAATTAATAAATGATAAAAAGCTACTTACATATGAATTTTTAATTCAGTATAGTGGCCTTACTGCATAATAAACGTGAAATAAAAGGAAATTCATTTATAATCAAATAATATGTAGATCATTTTAATGTTTGAGCATGAGTACACTAAAACATATAATGAAATAGTCAGATGATTTTACTTATGTGTAATCTCCCCAGTGCTATAGCTACAAGTACAGTCTGTTACAGGCATGTTGCATTGGCCATTTAAAATTCGTGAATTAGAATGTCATTGTTTTCATAATTTGTCAAAATGGTAATCAAATTTTCATAGTATACTTAGCAAAACAAAGTACCTCTTTTCTCAATTTATACAACATTTGCACTCCTACAAATGTACATAAAAACAATACAAAAACTATTTCTTATGTTGATTTTTACTATGGAGCTGAATTTTCACCTCAAACATAAATATATTTCTCACCTTTGCAGAAATAACTGTAGAGAAGTTATCTCTACAGTTAAAGAAGCAAGATTTTGCTAATCAGAAGTGCTGCCTACATTGCAGAACATCTAACATCCCCAGTCTTCAACTATTGTTAACACTATACCCTCTTACATGCTTTCTAAATGCCCCCATAAAGGTATGAGCTAAATCACTATTAAGAAACCCCAGCCTAATCTAACTGGCACAAAACCTGATTACTGCAGACACTAAGCAAATTATGTCAATGTATGAATTTGCCTGGTTATTAGGTCTGTAGAGTGCTTTAAATTTCAGTATTTTAAATACTTAAATGTATTTATAAATAATGTTGGAGGTCTTCCAAGATGACTAACTAGGGGCACAGGACACTCAACCCCTCCACAAAGAAGAGCCAAAATACTGAGTAGATAATCACACTTTGAATAAAACATCTAAGAGAGAGTACTGGATTCAGCAGAGAAGAGGCAGGAAATACTTGAGAAACCTGGGAAGAGGGAGGTGATAGGGACAGCCCAGCTGCAATGGGCTGGAAGCCCATAGAGGCTCCCCAGTGCAAGGAGAGGGCAAGAAGAGATCTGCAGTGGTTCACATTCCCACTGCAGACTTCTGTACTCCTAGCTGCAGGAGAGTCCCTCAACCCCTGTAATCTCTGAGACTGGCATAGGGATTTCCCTGTAGTCTGCATGATGGTATTGCTCCAGAAAGGGAGCTCACACTGGGTCCCACACCATCCCTGAGTCCCATACGATTGCAGCAAAGGGCCATTTTGTGAGCCCAAACCCCAGCAGACTGCATCCTGACATGAGGCCCAAGAGCCTGTGTATCTCCACATCCCTAAAGCCCCACTGACATCCTCCTACCTCCATCTGGAGGGCTATAGTGGTGAGATGCTGGTTAGACCCAGCAGAGCGGTAGGGGCCCTAGCAATCTAGCCCACATAGTTTCCTACATGCCAGGAGAGGGGCAGTGCAGAGCAATAAAGAGGCTGTTTCCAGGACAAAAACAAACAAAGAGCATACTCCCCAGAGTCTGAAACCCACATGTCTTGGGCCACTATCACCAACAGCAACCCTGCCTCCCTCCAGCAACAGGAATGCCACCCATGTCCAAGTACTCTGGGGACAGACTCTATTCACCATCTCCTGCAGCCACTGTCACCACTGGAAAATTAAATGCATAATCCCCAGAGTCTAAAACTTATCTCTGTGGGGCCATTGTCACTAACGGCAATGCTGCCCCCTCAACAGCAGAGCTGCCACATACGTGCATGTGCCCTAGAGACAACATTTCAACACTCACTGCTTTTGCTGCCACCACCACACAAGCACACCACCAGGGCCTAGGGATCACCCTGCCCTGCTCACCACAGCCTGCACCTGTGTTTGCCACTGGGGATCCTGAGGACAGTGACCAAGCCTGCTACCTGGGGGTCCAGTGATCAACCCGCCCAGTTGGTCACTGGGCACACATGCAGATCACCAGGGAGCCAAAGAACAAGTCCAGAAATAACTGCTACTGATACCCAAGCATGCTTGTCGGGAGGCCTGGAGATTGCCGCATCCTATTCAACACTGCTGGCATCTGGAAGCTTATCCTGGGGGCTTGAGGACAGACATGGCTGGCTTGTCACAGCCACCACTAACATCAGCAGGTGCCACCTGAAAGCCCAAGCATTTGTCCCACTACCACTACTATCACAGCCCACATCACACACACTGCTCAGGGGTCCAAGGACTCCCCAACCTACCTGACCACCTGCTTCCACTTCTGGCACTCAAGCAAGCATTTGGAGGCCCAAGGATAGTCCTGCCTGGACCCGCTAGTGCCAGTGTATATGTATACAGACCGGGGCTCAAGGATAGGCATACTTGGCCTATTGCTGCCACCATGGGGTCCTGAAGATTGGCCCACATGGTGTACCATTCCCAGCAAAAGTTCCTTTCAGCCTTCACTAACATCTGCACGCTAAATCACTGAAAAAGTCAGACACCACTCGTACTGTTTACAGCCAAAGCAATCATATAAAAACTACACTACTGCCAGGATCCAAAATCAAAGCTAAAGTGCCCTACAAAAATGAAACCACAGGTAGATCTACAGGAAAAACTCATCTCCAATGAAAGTCAATTCAAAAAAATTAGAAGAAGTAACTGTTACACCTCAGGGACAGACATCGATGAAGGGCTACAAGAAACATAAAAGAGCAACAACAACAAAAATGACACCTCCAAGGGAACACAATAATTCTCAAACAACAGATTCCAACAAAAAGAAATGTACTCAATACCTGAGATAAAATTCAAAATAATGATATTAAAGAATTTCAGTGAGATACAAGAGAACACAAATAAGCAATACAAAGAAATCAGAAAAAAATTCAGAATATGAATGAGAAATTCGAGAAAAGATAGATATTATTGAAAAGAATAAAACACAATCCTTGAACTAAAGAATTTCATAAATGAAATGTAAAATACAATTGCACATTTCCATAACAGACTAGATGAAGCAGAAGAAAGAATTTCAGAACTTGAAGACAGGTCTTTTGAAATAACCTACCCAGATTTTTAAAAAATGAAAAAAAAGAAAGCCTACATGATATATGGTACATGATAAAGCAACAAAATATCTAAATTTGGGGTCTCCCAGAAAAGGAAAAGAAGTTTAATGGCATAAAAAACTGAAAAAATAACACCCCAGAAATTTTCAAGACTAGTAAGAGACTTACACATCCAGACACAGGACACTCAGGTGTCCCCAGATAGATACAACCCCAAAGGAACTTCTCCCTGGCACATTATTGTCTAATTGTCAAAGACCAAAGAAAGGAGAATTGCAAAAACGGCAAGAGAAAAGTATCTACTCACATATACTCACATATAAAGGAAACCCTATTAAACTAACAACAGATTTCTCAGCAGAAACTTGGCAGGTCAGGAGAGAATGGGACAATATATTAAAAGTGCTGAAAGAAAATGACTGGTAACCAAGAATACCATTTCCAGCAAAGTTATCATCATAAGAGAAGGAGAAATAAAGATTCCCAGATAAGCAAAAACTGAGAGAATTTTTTACCACTAGAATGTCCTTACAGAAAATGCTCAAGGGAATCCTATACCTGAAAGCTAAACAGAGATACTCACAGTCATGAAAACATTTGAAAGTGTAAACTAACTGGTATAGAAAACATACCAATATGGAAGAGGAAGAACTTAAATGTTATTACTACCAAACCATAACCATAAACGATGAGAGAAAGAAAGAAACAAGGAATATACAAAGCAACAAGAAAACAATTAACAAAATGACAGTAATACATTCTCACATATCAAAATTACCTTGAAAGTAAACGAATTAAACTTTCCACTTAAAATTTATATGCTACATGACCCAACTATATGCTGTGTCCAACAAACTCACTTCACCTCTAAAGACACATACGGACTGAAAGTACAGGAATGGAAAAAAAACCTATCTACTCAAAAAGCAAAAGCAAGCAAGAATTCATATACTTATGTAGGATAAAACACACTTTAAGTCAAAAATAGTAAAGATATCAAGAAAGTATTTATATAATAATAATGGAATCAATTCATCAAGATGATTTAACAATTCCAAATATAAATGTACTATATTAGTTTGTTTTCACACTGCTGATAAAGACATATCCAAGACTGGGCAATTTACAAAAGATAGAGTTTCAACGGACTTACAGTTCCACATGGCTGGGGAGGCCTCACAATCATGGTAGAAAGCAAGAAAGAGCAAGTTATGTCTTACATGGATGGCAGCAGGCAAAAAAGAGAGAGAGAGAGACAGCGCTTGTGCAGGGGATCTCCTCTTTTTAAAACTATCAGATCTCATAAGACTTATTCACTATCATGAGAACAGTATGGGAAAGATCTGCCCTCATGATTCAGTTACCTCCCACATGGTGCCTCCCATAGGGTCCCTCTCATAACAGGTGGGAATTCAAGGTGAGATTTGCGTAAGGACACATCCAAACCACATAATGCACCTAACAATGGAGTACTCAGATATATAAAGCAAATATTCATAGATATAAAAGGATAGATAGACTCCAGCAAGATAGTAGTTGAGGATTCCAAAACTCCACTCCTTGGAATAGATTGATTAGACAGAAAATCAGCAAACATTGGATTCAAACTGCATTAGCCTAAATGGATCTAAACAGACATTTACAGACCATTTCATCCAACAGATGCAGGAATACACATTCTTCTCATCAGCATATGATAAATACCCCAAGAGATATCATATGTTAGACAAGATAAGTCTCAAGAATTTTTTTAAAAATCGAAATCCTCTCAGATATCTTCTCAGACCACAATAGCATACAACAAGAAATCAGCAACATGTGAAACTTTGAAAACTCCGCAAATACATGGAAATTAAGCAACATGCTCTTGAACAATCACTGGGTCAGTGAAGAAATTAAAACAAAACTCAAAACTTTTTTTTGAAACAAACAAAAATGGAAACAATATACAAAAACCTACAAGATATAGAAAAAAAAGTGGTGCTACTAGGGAAATTTATAGTAATAAATCCCTACATCAAAAAGGTAGAAATGTTTCAAATAATCAACCTAACAATGTACCTCAAGGGACTAGAAAAGCAAGAAAAACCAAACCCCAAATTCGTAGAAGGGATAAAAAAAGATCAGAGCAGAACTAAACAGAGACTAAAAGGAGCAATACAAATAATAAACAAAATGAAAACTTGGTTTATCAAAAAGATATATAAAATTGAAAAACCACTAGGTGGACTAACCAAGAAAACAAGAGAGAAGACCCAAATACACAAAATTAGAAGTTAAAAAGGAGACATTACTGCTGATACCACAAAAATACAAAAGATCATCAAGACTACTACGAACAACTAAACACTAACAAACTAGAAAACCTAGAAGAAATGGATAAATTCCTGGACACATACAACCTACTAGATTGAATGAGAAGAATTAAAAACATGAACAGACCAATAAGGAGTAACAAGATTGAATCAGTAATAAATAGTCTCTCAACAAAGAAAAGCCAAGGACTAGATCACTTCACTGCCAAATTCTACCAAACATGTAAAGAAGTAATACAAATTATCCTTAAACTATCACAGAATATTGGAGAGAAGGAAATTCTTTCTAACTTATTATATGAATCTCGTAGTACCCTGATACCAAAAGCAAACAAGGACACAAGAAAAAAAACTACAGGCCAATGTCCCTGGTGAACATAGATGCAAAAATCCTAAATGAAACACTAGCAAACTGTATCCAACAGCACATCAAAAATATAATACACCTATCAAGTAGGATCTATTCCAGGAATGCAAGTATGGTTCAACATACAGAAATCTACAAACCTGATACATAACATCAACAGAATAAAGAAAAAAAGCCATATGATCATTTCAATAGATACAGAAAAAGCATTTGATAAAAACATTCTTTCCTGACAAAAATGCTAAACAAAGCATAGAAGGAACATACCTCAAAATAATAAAAGCCATATATGACAAATCCACAACTAACATACTAAAATGGGTATAGCTGAAAGCCTTTCTTCTAAGCATCGACACTAGACAAGGATGCTCACTTTCACCACTCCTGTTCAATATATTACTTGAAGTTCGAACCAGAACAACCAGGAAAAAGAAAGAAATAAAAGTCATCCAAAGTGGAAAAGATGGGATCAAATTGTCACTCTTTACAGACAATATAATCTTATACTTAGGAAACCTAAAGATTCAGCCAAAAAATTCTTTGATCTGATAAATAAAGATTAAATGAAGGATACAAAATCAACATATAAAAATGAGTAGTGTTTCTACACATCAATAACAAACCAGCTGAAAGAGAAATCAAGAAAACAATCACATTTACAATAGGTACCAAGAAATAAAATGCCTAGAAATAAATTTAATTAATAAGGTGAAAAACATCTACAAGGAAAAGTACACAACACTGATGAAAGAAATTGAAGAGAACACAAATGGAAAGACATCCTATGCTCGTAGATTAGAATAATTAATATTGTTAAAATAACTGTACTGTCCAAAGCATCTACAGATTCAACACAATTCCTATCAAAATACCAATGACATTTTTCACACAAACAGAAAAAGCAATCTTACAATTTGTATAGAACCAAAAAAGAGCCTGAATAGCCAAAGAAATCATGAGAAAAAAAGAATAAAGCTGGAAGCATCACACTACCTGAAATTATGAGGCCATAGTAACAAAAAGAGCAGGATATTGGTATACAAATAGACACAGAGACCAATGGAACAAATTAAAGAACCCAGAAATAAACCCTCATATTTACTGCTATTTCACAAATCAACTGCTATTTCACAAAGATGCCAAGAACATACACTGGGGAAAGAAAATCCTCTTCAACAAACAGTTCTGGGAAAACTGGGTATCCATATGCAGAAGAATGAAACTAGATGACTATCTCTCTAAATATATAAAAATTAACAAAAACAAAAATAAACTAATGTAACTACATCAAACTGAAGATCTTCTGCACAGCAAAGGAAACACTCTCCCATTTAACAGATTGAAGAGGTAATCTGTTAAATGGGAGAAAATAGATGCAACTATTCATCTTACAAGGGCCTAAAATCTAGAATATGTAAGTTTGTAAACAACTCAATAGCAAATCACAATCTTATTTAAAAGTGGGAAAAGGATCTAAATACACACTTATCAAAAGAAGACATATGAATGCCCAACAGGTAAGTGAAAAAACACTCAATATTGCTAATCATCAGAAAAATGTAAATCAAAACCACAATGAAATATCATCTCGCCGCAGTTAGAACTGTATTATCAAATTACAAAAAAAAATGCAAATGCTGATAGGGATGCAGAGAAAAGGGAACTCTCATACACTGTTAGTATGAATGTAAATTAATAGAGCCACTATAGAGAACCGTATGAAAGTTTCTCAAACAACTAAGAATAGAACTACCATATGATCCAGCATTGCCACTACTGGGTATCTAACCAAAAGAAAAGAAATCAGTATATGATAGGGTTTGGCTGTGTCCTCATCCAAGTCTCATCTTGTATTGTAATCCACATAATGCCCATGTGCCGTGGGAGGGACCCAGTTGGAGGTAATTGAATCATGGGGGGTTATTACCCCCCAGGCTGTTCTCATAATAGTGAGTGAGTTCTCAGGAGATCTGATGGTTTTATAAGCTTCTGGCCTTTCCCCTGCTTGTACTCACTCAGTCCTGCTACCCTGTGAAGAAGGTGTCTGCTTCTCCTTTGCCTTCCACCATGATTTTAAGTTTCCTGAGGCCTCCCCAGCAATGCTGAACTGTGAGTCAATTAAACCTCTTCCCTTTATAAATTACCCAGTCTTGGGTATTTCTTCATAGCTGTGTGAGAATGAACTAATACAGCACATCAAAGGGATACATGTGCCCCCTATGTTTACTGTAGCACTATTAACCATAGCAAAGATATATAATCAACCTAAACATTTATCAGTGGATGAATAAAGAAAATGTGGTATATTTACACAACGAAATACTACTCAGCCACAAATAAGAATGAAATCATGTCATTTGCAGCAACATGGATGGAACTGGAGGTTATTATGTTAAGTAATGCAGACACAGATAAACAAATATCTCATGTATTTACTCATATGCGGAAGCTAAAAAAAATGATCTCATGTAGGTAAAGAGTACAATGATAGTTACCGCAGGCTGTTAAATATATGGATTTGTGTTGGTAGGAGAGATGAAGTGAGGTTGAATAATCGGTACCAACATACTTTCAGATAGAAAGAATAAATTCTAATGTTCGATAATAGATTAGGGTGACTATAGTCAACAATGTGGAGTACATTTCAAAATAGCTAGAAATGAGGACTTAAAATGTTCTGAACACATAGAAATGATAAATGCTCCTGGTGATGCATGTCCTATGTAGCCTGACTTGATCATTACACATTCTATACATGTAACAAAATATCACATGTACCCCATAAATATGTACAAATATTATGTAGCAATGAAAGATAAAATTTTAAAAATACTAACACTATGCCTCCCACACAAAATACATTCACTACCTAGTGTATTCCAACTGTAGCTTGCCAGGTAATGAACCCTGATCTAGACCAGTTGATTCATTCCTTCTGGATTTTCTGAGAGCATAAGAAAAATGATGTTGGTGCTGAATTCAGTAGGAAGATGATTCTGTAACAGGGCTTTGTAAACAGGGGGAAGATACCTTCAGTGGAGGTATTTATATTTGAATAAAAATTTAAAAGCCCATAAGTAAACATCTCAGGATTGCTGAGAATTGACTGAAAACCTCCCTGAGGGAACTACTAAAGGCTGTACTTGAAAAAGAAATAAAAAATTAATTCAGAAAATAAGCAATGGTGAAAATAATTGGTAGTGATAAGGATAAGCCCAAATTAACATTGGCTGTATTCATAGCATTAAGAAAAACAATAGTAGGTTGAGCATGCTGGCTCATGCCTGTAATCCCAGCACTTTGGGAGGCTGAGGCAGGTGGATCACCTGAGGTCAGGAGTTCAAGACCAGCCTGACCAACATGGAGAAACCTCGTCTCTACTAAAAATAAAAAAATTAGCTAGGCTTGAACCTGGGAAGTGGAGGTTGCAGTGAGCCAGGATTACGCTACTGTACTCCAGCCTGGGCAACAGAGCAAGACAAAAAAAAACAGTAATAACAACTATTGGAAGGGGTTACTAATGAGAATGAACTCAATATTAGACAAAAATAACATTAAAGAGGATACGACTTTCATCTCTGAAAAAAGTAAGAAGTTTGGTGAATTTCTCCCCTCAAAACAGTTATCAAACTGGATGAAATTGTTCAAAATAATTGTATCAAGTACATGGGAATCGACTTAAGGCAAGAAACACAACGAGAAACATTTATTTACTAAAAGAAAATAAATAAAAAAAAAAACTGCTAAACTTCAGGTAAGACCTGTGGGTAGCTAGGGCATTTGTGCCTGAGGCTTCCACAGTCACCATAGCAACTTGGACAGCATGGTGATTCTGCAAGGCCATGGCTGGTTATGAACAACAGAGGCAAAGTAGCCAGAGGGGGGCTGACTTAATTTGGACTGGCAGGTAGAGCCCTGACACTCAGGGGCATTGTCAGTACAAGTAGCAAATTCATTAGATAATGATTGGGGAAAGCCAACAGCTCCCTTAGCCTGATTGCATTCCACATTAGGTGATACAGTAAAATAGAGGAATGGCCAGAAATTTAACAAGATCTTGAAATTGCCAGAAATTTTCAGGGTCCTTATGATCTTTCACAAGCCTTGGGCTTTCTGTGCAGGTACGTACACACATAGTAAAGATCTGAGAGAACCAAACGAAACTAAATACTGAGGTAAGCTGAAAAATTACCTGAAATTCAAATGCACTTTCACATCCACATTTTGATACATCAGCAGAGGGTGGAACCTTATTTCTTAAGATGTTTCAGCACATTACAAATTATAATGCATCAGTAGCTGACCACAAAGAAGTGAACACCTCTAGAAAACTAAGTAAAATGATAACTAGAATATTTTTTTACAAAGCAATAATACAGTGACTATACAACACAGCAGAGAGAGTCCATAGACCAGTCGAGGCAAATTACTTTCCAGGTTAATAAGTAAACAAAATAACAAAAACAGTAATGCTCAAGGAAAAAAAAATAAGGATCCAAAGTTGCTAAAATATTTTCTAAAATGCACATTTCAACAAGATTTTATGAGCTATCCAAAGAAACTGCAAAATGTGACCCCTGCCCCAGAAAAAAAGATAAATATGCAGAAACTGCCACTGAGTGGGCTGAGATGTTAGATTAGCAGTCAAGACTTTAAAAGAGCTACAACACCATGAAAAGAAATTAAGAAATGCTACATGTTACAATATAAATGAACTTTTAAAAACTGTGTTAAGTGAAAGAAGCCAAACATTTATGCAAAATGTACAGAATTGGCAAATCTATAGACAGAAAGCAAATCCCTGCTTGTTAGAAGCCGGAGGGTGAATAATTGGGAGTGATATAGTTTGGATGTTTGTCCTCTCCAGATCTCATGTTGAAATTTAATCCCCAGTGTTGGAGGTTGGAGCTGGTGGGAAGTATTTGAGTTACAGAGGTGGATCCCTCATAAATGGCTTGGTGCCCTCCCTCATGGTAATGAGTGAGTTCTCACTCCATTCATGCAAGAGCTGGTTGTTGAACATAGCACCTCTTCTCCTTTCTCCTTTGCTCCCCCTCCTGCCATGTGGCATACCTGTTTCCCCTCCACCTTCTGCCATCATTGGAAGTTTCTTGAGGCCCTCACCAGAAGCAGATGCCAGTGCCATGCTTCTTGCAAAGCCTGCAGAACCATGAGCCAAGTAAACCTCTTTTCTTTATAAATTACACGGCCTTAGTTATTATTTTATATCAATGCAAAACAGAATTACACAGGGAAGGACTGCTTAATGGGTATGGAGTTTCCTTTTGGTGTAAGAAAAATGTTCTGAAACTAGACTCAGGTGGTAGTTGTACTACATTGTGAATGTCCTAAATGCCACTGAATTATACACTTTAAAATTGTTAATTGTGTTATGTGAATTACACATAAATCAAAGAAAAAGAAAGAAAAAATATACTTTGAGCAATCTCCAATGTATATTGTTATGTGAATAAAGAGAGGTTGAGGAAAACAAAGAGCTACAACAATAATTTTTAAATAATTAAAAGAAGCCAAGTTTAAAGGAATAAAGAAATATATAGTGACAATGATTTAACTAATAGAGATCACCAATAAAGCAATAGAAACTATTAAAAAGAAGCAAATGGAAATTCTGGAGTTGAAATGCATAAAAACTAAAATAAACAATTCACTAAATGGAATTAATAGCAGATTTAAAGTGGCATAAGAAATAATCAATGACCTTGAATATAGATCAATAGAAATTATCCAGTATAAAAAAAGAAAAAAAGGATTGAAATAAATACATAGAATCTCAGAGACCTGTGGGAGAACATCAAGTGTACCAACATATATCAAATAGGAATCCCAAAAGAGGAGGACAAAGGGACAAAAATCTTGAAAACTAATGGTAGAAAACTTCACAGTTTTGATGAGTAATATTTAATAAAATTCATACTGTCAAGCTCTGCATTTGTGAAGTGTTTTAGTCCATTTACTTTTAATGTTATTTTCAATATATTTAAGTCTAACATTTAATTCTTCTTTTATTCTCTCTGTAGTCTTTTTGTTCCTCTGTTTTTTTTTCATTCACTCATTCAAGAGGTTATTTAAACATTTTTGGTATTCCATTTTTAATTTATGTACTGTGACTTTGACTATTTTATAACTGTAACGGTTTCTTTAGTGATAATAAAGTACATACTTACAGTCTACAGTTGATACTTTACAACTTTAATTTTAATATATAAACATTGCCATCATATAGGTATCTTTACTATCCTCCCATATGCTATAATTGTCATATAAATCATATTGATATACATTGCAACCATTACATGCACTTTAAAGAACTCAAGATAAGAATAGTCCATTATATGCATGCAGTATTTGCCATTTCTGTTGTGTGTCCTTCCTTAATGATGTTCCAAGTTTCCTTCCAAAATAATTTCCTTTTTGTCTGGAAACTTCTCTTTAGTATTACTGTAGACCGCTTCTGCTGGCTACAACTTCTCTTAAGTTACCTTTATCTGAGAATATTTGTTTCACCCATATTCCTGATTTACAGTGGCTATGGCATTCTGGGTTAACAGTTCTGCCAGCATTTTGAAAATGGAGTACCACTTTGTTCTGGTGTCCATGGCTTTTAATGTGACTTTTTCTCATTAGAATCTGTGTTCCTTTATAGGTAATGTGTCATTTTCCACTGGGGGCTTCCAAGTTTTTTTCTTTGTTTTGAGTGGTTTGATTATTATGTGTCTGAATGTAGATCATTTTGAATTTATCCTGTTGCAATTTACTCAGCTTATTTGATTATAGTTTTATGTCTTTGCCAAATTTGAAAAGTTTTCATTCTTCATTTTTATCAAACACTTTCGAATCCTACACTCTTTCTGGAACTCCAGCAACATGGATGTTGGACATTGTGTTACTGACCCAAAGGTTCTTCTAGCTCTGTTTGTGCATTTATTGGTTATTTGGTTTGTTTTTTCTAGCCTTTTAAAAAAACTCTTCTCATGTTTGATAATTTTTATTAATCTGTTTTCAAATTCACTCACTCTTTTGTCTGTCATCTTAATTCTCCCATTTAGTCCTTACAGTGAGGTTTTTTCCCCCAGTTATTGTATTTTCTGTCCATTTGGTTTATTTTTATATCTTCTACTTTTTTAATGAGACTTTCTATTTTAGCATGTGTTTAAAAAACATTCATGATTGTTATTCAAGCAGTTTGGGGAAAGTTGTTTTAATGTCTTTATCAGATAATTTTCAGCATCTGCGTCATCTTGGTGTTGGCATGTGTTGATTGTTCTTTCTATGTCAGTTAATATTTCCGTGGATTTTTGTAGACTAAGGAATTTTTATTTTAGTCTGGGCATTTTAGATATTACATCAAGACCCCGTGTCGATTTAAATTCTATAGAGAATAGTGACAATTTTTTATCTTGGCAATAGATTAGCTTGGGTAAGTTCATTCCCTAAGTTTCAACCTACTTCTACAGGCTGTGATTCCAATATAAACGTATTTTTCAAAGTATGTTTAGTTCTCTTTGTATCTATCCCAAATGTTTTTCATTCATTGGTCAGTATGTGTCATAGGTCTTATAGTCCCTGTATTACATGCTAAAACCCATAAGTATGCCACATCAAAATATGAAGAGCAATAAACATGGGGTTTACCTGCAAGAATATCTAAGCCTTGTAACAAGATGGCATGCAAACAATGACAGTGTAATTATGAATATGTACAAAGTCACACAGAAAACAAAACAAAAAGAATAAATCTATATGTCATCAGTAAAATTCATTTTCTTTATATATATTTGTAATTTTTCTAGTTTATATTTAAAATATGTACTTCCTTCTGAAGTACTGGTTGCTCACACTTTTATTTAACCTGTAAGAAATAATTTTAAAACCTTTGACTTAGTTCAGTACAAGTTAATCATCCTTAACTTTAGCTGAGAAACATGAGAGAGAAAATTAAATGCATACACACAGAAATATTTCTAATAGCAATTTGATCACTAGGTGAACAACATTTATTAAAAATATTTTTAGGAAAATCAAAAATTGTTAAAACACTTGTAATTAAATTATGTAGCCTGCACACCTTGCCTCTGGGCTTTATGAGTCACCACTAGCAAAATATTGCCTAGCAGAAGTACATATTATTTGGGGTGGTATGAATTGTTTTGTTATTATATGCATAAGATTTTTTTTTTTTTTGAGACAGAGTCTCACTCTGTCGCCCAGGCTGGAGTGCAGTGGCACAATCTCGGCTCACTGCAAGCTCCGCCTGCCCGGTTCACGCCATTCTACTGCCTCAGCCTCCCAAGTAGCTGGGACTACAGGCGCCTGCCACCACGCCTGGCTAATTTTTGTATTTTTTAGTAGAGACGGGGTTTCACCATGCTAGCCAGGATGGTCTCCATCTCCTGACCTTGTGATCCACCCGCCTCGGCCTCCCAAAGTGCTGGGATTACAGGTGTGAGCCACCGCACCCAGCCATATGCATACAATTTTTAATGTACTTAAATTTAGACCACTTTCTAGAAATAGTTTGCATTTTCTTTACTTGTTGTAAATGTCTAAGTCCTTTTGAGTCTATCTGGATCTGTATTTGTGCTTTAATTATCTCTGGCTTTCCTTCAGTACTAAACTACTTTGTGCCCCTAAAAGCAAGAATAATTTTCTAAACAGAGAGAAAGAGAGAGGGATGTGGGGAAGGAAAAAACATGCAGCTGCAAATCAATTATGGACAGGGTACTGGAGTTGATAATATTTGTTCATGTTGGTAAATTTGGAATTCATAGGAAAATTAAAAGAAATGCATATAGCAAAGAAGGCTATAGCATAGAAATTTGCTATTTACTTATAATAACAGAATACATCATTATATCTAAGGAAAGAATTGTTTATTTCATTTAATGTTATTTGTTTAATGAGCTTTTATATAGTATGTAGTTTCCTTAACACATAACTGCAAATACATATAGACATTTACTCTCTCACTCAAATGGTGCCGCTAAGCTTGAACTATTGATCTATGGTGTTTTAACAACAGCTTTTGAGTTTACTGATAAAATTATAGTAAGCATTTAGATTTAGTGTCTACATTGTGAGAATAATAAAACATGAAGATACCTGTGAAATTCTTTTTATAAATGTCTTTCTCTTAATAAGACTAGATAGAGAAAACATTTCTGTACAGTGTCTAAATGCCTAACCACTTAGTTCCCCAAAGTCTGTTTTTAGGAATTTGACATACTTTGAACAACATTATCTTTTAGTTCAGCATTTACTTGAATGCCTTGATTTTTACTTTATATACGAGTTGAATTCCATGATTTGACTAATTTTTATACAGCATTATTTTATGATAGCAAGATTCCTTCTTCTTGTCCATTATCATCAAAGTATTACTCTGTTGCTGGAAGAAATATGGTGATTAATTTGCCTTTGATATATTTGGTTCCTCTTTATGTACAGTGTTTAAGAGTTTAGTCACAAAGAGCTCTGACATCCTAAGAAAAAGCTATGCTAGAAACAAAAATTAATCCTAGTGACTAAGAGCCCTTAACAAAAAATAAATTACGTACGTTGTAGCATAAAAGCAAATACCTGGCCGGGCACGGTGGCTCACGCCTGTAATCCCAACAGTTTGGGAGGCCGAGGTGGGCGGATCACGAAGTCAGGAGATCCAAACCATCCTGGCTAACACGGTGAAACCCCGTCTCTACTAAAAATACAAAAAACTAGCCGGGCGTGTGACGGGCGCCTGTGGTCCCAGCTACTCATGAGGCTGAGGCAGGAAAATGGCGTGAACCCGGGAGGCGGAGCTTGCAGTGAGCCGAGATCGCACCACTGCACTCCAGCCTGGGCGACAGAGCGAGACTCCGTCTCAAAAAAAAAAAAGAAAAAAGAAAAAAAGCAAATACCTAACACAGAGAATACTCTGATTTCTGGAACTGATAGAATACTATTTCAGCACACCAAAGCACTTGAAAAAACTCTTGGAAAACAATATATTGTCTCAAAGTTCTACCACAAGATGTCAAAAATAAGCTAAACGAAGTCAGATGTAAAAGCATTACAGGACAATTAATATAATATGCAACAGCAATAAAAATCCTGCATGTATTCATCTAATTTCTCTCTAGTTTAATTCAAAAAAACTTTTTTTCGCTTCTTCCATCCTCTTCATTCTCAGTTTGCTTCCTACTTCACCGTGAAAGTTGAAGCCATGACCATCTTAACCTGCCAGCCGGTAGTATCAGTGTTCGTATTCTCTGCCTTCCCACCTATTGTACTAGATAAATGATGGTAGCCATTTCTTCCCCTGGGGTATTATGTTTCATTCCTGTTACCTACTCATAGCAGTATTTATTCAATAATATGGCTCTCCATTTGTCTCGTGTATATGTTCTGTGTATTTCGGATATAGAGATTAGATTCCCTCACCCACATCAGAGCAAAGTGAGCGTCTAGTCATATTTGAACATCTTACTCCTGAGAACCAAACTGCCCTGTGACAACCTTAATAAGAACCAAACTTGGCAAACGTAATTGCAGAGTTTCACGTTAAGAAAACTCACAATAAAATAGGGGGAGCAAATGAAAAGTCTGTACTGTCAGACTTAAGTGTATTGTAAGAAGAAGAAAAATAAGGTGGGATAAACAAATCTGAACTGAGTTCCTGCTTTTCAGGACTAGTAGATATCTATGGGAAAATCCACAAATATTCAGAATTGAGGCTTGGCTAATCAGGAGTAGCGAGGGGTGGGGAGGGGGCAGAAAGGGCTCCAGAAATCCTTCAGAAGCATCCCACCTGCAGTAGGCAGAACTCCAAAACGGCTGCTAAAGTTGTCCTGCCCCAACCCCCAGAAACTGAATGTGATGAGATACTGTGCTGTCATTGGTCAGCCCTTCGGGTCTGTAAAGAATTGGTTCCAGGACCCCCTGCAGATACCAAAATCCACAGATGTTCAAGTCTCAACTGTGGATCAAAACAATTAGATGGAAAAATTGGGGATCCAAAGTTAGTTGAATTACCAAATGTGGAACCATGAATCCGAAGGGCCAACTGCAGTAAGAAATGTGTTTCATCTCTGTCCCCAGCTCCTGGCACAGACCTCCTAAAACCCTTGAAATTTCTTGAGTGATAGGACTATCTTTTATTATTCTTCATGAGCCTCACTTGATCACACCTGTGTTTATGCTCCTGCGCGGACTTAGGGTGCGAGTACCTAGATAGCTTCAGATGGGACCAGTCACCAGAAAGACCAACTAGGTATTAAAACTTTCAGCCCCATCTACTGACTTTTGGGAAAAGGAGGGGATGCTGCAGATTAAGCCTATGAAACTCTTGAACAATGAGGTTTGAAGAGCTCTCCCGTTGGTGAATACGCCTAGGTGCTGGGAGGGCAGTGTGCCCAAAGAGGGCATGAAAATTCTGTGTGCTTTCCACCATACCTCACCCTATTCATCTCTTCCATTTGATTGTTCTTGTATCCTTTATAATTAACCCAGAAACTGACCTCCTGAGTTCTGTGAGACATTCTAGCAAATTATTCAACCTTAGGAGGAGGTAGTGGAAATCCCTGATTTATAGCTGGTCACTTAAAAGTTTGGGAGGCCCAGGACTTGCGACTGGTGTCTGAAGTTGGTAGCAGTCTTGTGGGACTGAGTCCTTAAGCTGTGGGGCCTATGATAACTCCTGGTAGGTAGTGTTGGCATCAGACTGAATTATTGAACACCCCGTGCTTGGAAAATCAGAGAATTGGTTGTTGGTTTTGGAAAACGCTCCACAAGCATGGATATGTTAGATTATACAGCACTAGGGACTTGACAGATGCTGTGACACTGGCCTCTAGGAGCAGAGTGCAGGCCCTGGTGGAGAGCCAGCAAGAAAGCAGGACTTACTCCTACAACCACAAAGAACTAAGTCCCACCAACAATCTGAATGAACTTGGAAACAAATTCTCTCTCCAAGCCAGAAAGGAAGGTAGCTAGCCTCTCATCCACATCTGATTCTGATGAGGTAGATGATGAGATGGTGATGAGATTATTAGAATTTTGAGCTGATAAGGTACAGATGAGATTTGCAACGCTGAAATAATGCTGTCATAAAATAAGACTTTTGAGAACGTTGGAAAGAGGTAAATGTATTTTGGTTTCAGGAGGGACATGATTCTTTGGGGATGAGAAGGCACATTGTGACAGCTAAAATTCTGATGAAGATGACACTTCCATGATTCCAATTTTGCAAATATTAATTTAGTTACTGCTTTAAAGAGATTTTGCTGGTGTAAAGTCCCAAATCACTTGACTTGAGATATGGAAACTTTCAGGTGGGCCTGATCCAGTCAGACTAAAGCCCTTAAAAGCCAATAGCTTTCACCTTGGAAGGAGACAGAAGGCATCAGAGATTTGGAGTGTGGGAAGAACTTGGCAAACTGGTGCTGATTTGAAGATGAAGGGAGCACATGAGAAGGCAGCCTTTAGAAGCTGAGAGAGAGGCCTTTGGTCAACAGACGGTGAGGAAGGGGAACCTCAGTCTCCCATGGCAAGGTCTAAATAAATTCTGCCAGCATCCAAAATCCCAAGAGCAATATGCTAACCCCAGACCCCTTCCCCACCCACAAAGGACCCTTAAGCAGTGGCCCACTCACTTACCCAGTCATGATCCTGAAGGCAGCAGTAAAAAGGGTGAAACGCCAAAGACTCATAACCTAAAGAGAATGATGAACATAAAGGTAACTGCATAGGCCAGGCATGGTGGCTCATGCCTGTAATCCCAGCACTTTGGGAGGCCAAGGCAGGTAGATCACTTTAGGTCAGGAGTTCAAGACAAGCCTGGCCAAAATGGCAAAACCACGTTTCTCCAAAAAAAAATACAAAAATTAGCTACACGTGGTGGTGCGTGCCTGTAATCCCAGCTACTTGGGAGGCTGAGGTGGAATAATAGCTTGAACCTGGGAGATGGAGGTTGCAGTGAGCTGAGATTGCGCCACTGCACTCCAGCATGAGCAACACAATGAGACTCCAACTCAAAAACAAAAGCAAAAAACAAACAACGAAAAAGTAACTGCATAAAGCCAACTCTGATAAAGAGTTAAGCTTTAAGTAGACTCTTTAGTCTAAAAAGAAACTTATTAACCCAGGAAACAGAGAACTTCATCAAGTATAAGTTTGCTTTTCATCCCGTGGAGAGGAGTTTCAACGATTGGAGATTATAAAATCTACACTTTGTTTGGCACAGCTGAGAACAAAGAGTGAATTTTTTACCTTGATATGTTAATATAGTAAGTATCAATTCATATATATAATTTACAAAAATTAAAACAAAATTAAAATGTTATAATGTACTGATTGGTAATTATCTTAAAAAGTTCTTACCTATGTAAGTGATTTATGTAAATCAGTAAATAAAAATGTTTGAAATATTTTATCATGCATATTGGTTAACATGTGACTAGGGGCAAAAACCAATAAATTGCACTTTAATGAAAAGTTCAAAACCTTGAAAACTGTTCTTGCCTTTATTTCTCTACCTCCGAATTGAGAAAAAAATGACATGCCTGTAGAGGTATGTAATGTGATAATGGAATCGGTTGTGTTTTATGAAGAGATTGTAAAACCCATGAAAAGTTGCCCACAGCCAAAAGGAAATTAGGCCAAGAATAAAAAGCATATAGCTAGTGGAAAATAAGAATTTTAATAAAATTGAAAATGCAACCCATCTCCCTTTTATACTTCTCCAGGCTACCAATGTTCTCTCTGAGCTGTGTTTCATTGTTATAACATTGATAAATGTGAAGAAAGCAGATAAGAGTTTTGAGAGCTGGCAAAATAGTTTTGCATGTTGGGCCATCTGAAAACTAATATGGCAAAGTTCATTTCTAATATTTAATTTGGTTGCTATATTAATTGCATAATAAATTATATAATTTAAAATGAGGAATATTTTACATGTGAGTATTAAGATGAAAGAATTATTAATTTTTATATATAGTAAATGACTTAGAGATTTCTAATCCAGACTTTCAATTCATAGCCAAGGAAATAGAAGATTAGAAAGAGTAAAAATAATTGACATGTTTAAATAAAGTTGAAAATCTGAAATTTGAGTCTATTCCTCCTGATGCTAACTTTGTGTGCTCTTCTTGGCCAGGTAAGATAACTAGTAAAAGAGTGCACGTCTTAAAAGAAAAAGAAAATATGATAGTAACACTTACCTCTTTAAATTATTAATATTACCAAGATTACCAACAAAATCAGGTAGGGTAGTAAAAAAATGCCAACACTTCCCGGACAGGCTTTCTCTATTCCTATCTCTAACAAAGGAGGGCATGAAGGAGTATAGTTAGGAGTCTTGTTAGTCAAGGGACGTTACAGCTGTATCTGAGTCAATCCAAATTAATGACAAACAGCTTAACCTTTCTCTAGGCTTGATTAACACTGAAATTTCCTTCTGCAGTGCTCAGTCATCCTTGGTGTTCTCATGATGGAAAAGTGGTACTGACGGCTGAGACCTTCCAAGATAGGCACAAAACTGGGCAGAAGTGGGTGAGATCCTCTGAGCAAATGGTTCTCCCAGAACAGAAGCTCCATTTTCACTACACCTACCTGCATTCAGACACACTCACATACGACACACCCCTTATGAGGAAATACTTAATTTTTAACTTAACTTTAGCTAGGTTTACAACAAAAGAGTCCTAATTTGTTGGTTAATTTCTGTGCCTAAAACTGTTTATTCATGCCCAATATTTGAAAACAGAATGGAGGAAGAGAATGAGGTCAAGAACAATCACTCCCTTGTAAACTCCTGACTTAATTTAGTGGACCTTAATTGTACTTTGGCAACATTAACAAATACTGACTCCTATGATAGGATGAATAATTGGAAACACAAATTGAATGCATAACATGGTTTCTTCCTTCATTTACACAGTAATATACACTGATACTAGGGGCAGAACTGGCAGAAGCATGTTCTACCGTGTTAAGCATTAAGTTAAATTGCAAAGACTGCAAGCCAAAAGGAATAATACACTCTGCTAGCAAAACAATGAAGACAGTGAGGGCTAATTTCAAGGTTTTGCACGAAGAATAAAGGGATATTAAAATA